>NC_000010.11:84385519-84537034 GCF_000001405.40 Homo sapiens | reverse complement strand
TGCCAAGGTGGGAGAACTGACTTCTGGCCCTGCTGCTCTTTGGGGTCAGAAACTGGATGGGGAGGGAGGGATGTGGTAGGTGCACTGGGAAGAAAGATGTCTGGGAGCAGCTTGTGCTGTGGGGAAGGCTTGTGGGAAGTGGGCTGGAGAGGTGAACAAATCTCTTTACGAATGTCATTGTGCAGTGTATTTGGATCCCGTCACCATTTTTGACAAAGCAAGTAAAGAGTTGACACTATTGTGAACTTTTGGCTCCCGGACTGTGTTTTAGTTTTTCCACTGCACCCTCCGTCAACACTAAACAAGAGTGGTCCTTCATTTATAATGGTTGCATTTATAAAGCACTCAACAAACATTAACTATTATTGTTGAGTGTCAGAGAACACTCAATAAACATCATGTATTATTATGCGACCAGGCTTCTGCATTCCACACCCACGTGGGTGTAATAACGCTGGGTTTTCTCCAGCGCAGTCTCCACCTGCAGGACCATAGAAACCCCCAAACTCCCTGTTGTTTCCTTTGAAACTCGCTGTATTTTCTGTTTCCAAGAACAAAAATGATTTTGTTGAATTTAATTTTCAAGTTTATATTACAGCAAAAGAAACTCAGATTTGGAAAACAAAATTAAAATTATAGTATTGAATATTCTTTCTTTAAACTCCACCCCCTCAGATATTCTAAATAACCCTCTGAAGGCAGCTTAACCTTCCCTGAAGCTCCTTGGTTCCATGAGAAGTGATTCCCCCTCAACCTCCCTCTCTAAATCTCTTCCTGTGTTAAAAAATCAATATTAGACATGAGGCCTTGCCTCAGTTTGGGGAGCATATATCTAAACACCACAGGCCCTACAGTCTGGCATACTCAGCTTCCCAAACCCTCTGTGCTATATTCCTAAGATTCCCACTGCTTCACTCACTGATAAGGAATAATGTAAGACTAACTTTATTAAAACAATTTGGGGTCACCATGTGGCGCCCAGACAGTCATCTCTTGCTACACAGTGTGTTTGGAGGAATAAGGTAGGAATCAGATGCAAAATCTTCAGTGGGGCTCTCAGAACTAGGGATCCCAAATTAGAGGGTCCAGAGACCTGGGGCCATGCCCCATGGCCACATGGGCCTGTGATGGACATCTGACAGTGAGCACAGGCTTTGCCTTCCCACCCCCACAAAGTTGGAAGGCAGCTGTGGCTCATTGCTGCTATCCTCCTGGGCCACCAAAGGTCACAGCATAGGTCTATGGCCACGGGGAGTCAATCTCTCTTGGGGGTTCCAGCTTCAGCAGCATCAGCCTTGAGAGAAAAGGGGGCTGTGCAATCAGGCAAGTACAAGGTGGGGAACAAAGGCATCCACACTGGGAAAGGAAAAGTAATACTGTCTACTGTAGATGACAAGCTCCTGTGTGCAGAAGATCCCAAGGAACCCATAAAAGCACTATCAGAACTAATACAAAGATCTATTAGTCTGCTTTAATCCTGCTGATAGAGATATACCAAAGACTGGGTAATTTATAAAGGAAAAGAAGTTTAATGGACTCACAGTTTCATGTGGCTGGGGTGGCCTCACAATCATGGTGGAAGATGAAAGGCATTTCTTTTTTTTTTTTTTTTCTTTTTTTTTTGAGACGGAGTCTCGCTCTGTCGCCCAGGCTGGAGTGCAGTGCCGCGATCTCGGCTCACTGCAAGCTCCGCCTCCCGGGTTCACGCCATTCTCCTGCCTCAGCCTCCTGAGCAGCTGGGACTACAGGCGCCCGCCACCACACCTGGCTGATTTTTTATATTTTTTAGTAGAGACGGGGTTTCACCATGTTAGCCAGGATGGTCTCGATTTCCTGACTTAGTGATCCACCCGCCTCAGCCTCCCAAAGTGCTGGGATTATAGGCGTGAGCCACCACGCTCGGCCGAAAGGCATTTCTTATGTGGAGGCAGGCAAGAGAGAGAATGAGCAGGGGAACTCCCTTTTTTAAAACCGTCAGATCTCGTGAGACTTATTCACTACAAAAACAGCAGCACAGGAAATACCCACCCCCATGATTCAATTACCTCCCACTGGGTCCTTCCCATAACATGTGGTAATTACGGGAGCTACAATTCAAACTGAGATTTGGGTGAGGATACAGCCTAACCATATTATTCCACCCCTAACCTCTCCCAAATCTCATGTCCTCACATTTCAAAACATATCATGCCTTCCCAACAGTCCCCCAAAGTCTTCTTTCAGCAAAGTCTCATTTGAGACAAGGCAAGTCCCTTCCACCTTATAAGCCTGTAAAATCAAAAGCAAGTTAGATACTTCCTAGATACAATGGGGTTACAGGCACTGGGCAAATAAACCCACTCCAAATGGGAGAAATTGGCCAAAACAAAGGGG
This sequence comes from Homo sapiens, assembly GCF_000001405.40. Taxonomy (NCBI): domain Eukaryota; kingdom Metazoa; phylum Chordata; class Mammalia; order Primates; family Hominidae; genus Homo; species Homo sapiens. The sequence goes on along the minus strand of NC_000010.11, from coordinate 84,534,661 downwards.
CCACAGGTCCCATGCAAGTCCAAAACCCAGTAGGGAAGTCATTAAATCTTAAAGTTCCAAAATGATCTCCTTTGACTCCGTGTCTCACATTCAGGTCATGCTGACAGAAGAGGTGGGCTCCCATGGCCTTGGGCAGCTCCGCCCCTGAGGCTTTGCTGGATACAGCACCTCTCCTGGCTGCTTTCACAGGCTGGCATTGAGTGTCTGAGGCTTTACCAGTTGCATGGTGCAAGTTGTTGGTGAATCTACCATTCTGGGGTCTGGAGGAGGGTGGCCCTCTTCTTACAGCTCCACTAGGTGGTGCCCCAGTAGGGACTCTGTGTGAGAGCTCGACCCCATATTTCCCTTCTGCACTGCCCTCACAGAGGTTCTCCATGAGGGCCCCACCCCTGCAGCAAACTTTTGCCTGGAGATCCAGGTGTTTCCATACATCCTCTGAAATCTACACAGAAGTTCACAAACCTCAATTCTTGACTTCTGTGCACCTGCAGGCTCAACACCACGTGGAAGCTGCCAAGGCTTGGGGCTTGCACCATTTGGAGTCACAGCCCGAGCTGTACCTTGGCACCTTTTAGCCACAGCTGGAGCAACTGGGACACAGGGCAGCAAGTCCCTGAGTTGTACACAGCATAAGGCCCTGGACCCGGCCCAGGAAACCCTCCTACGTCTCTGGCCTGTGATTGGAGGGGTTGCCTTGAAGTTCTCTGACATGCCTTGGAGACATTTTCCCCATTTGCTTGGTGATTAACATTGGACTCCTTGTTACTTACCCAATTTCTGCTGCCGGCTTGAATTTCTCCCCAGAAAATCGGTTTTTCTTTTCTATCACATCATCAGGCTGCAAATTTTCCAAATGTTTGTGCTCTGCTTCCTCTTGAACACTTTCCTGCTTCAAAATTTCTTCCACCATGTTTGGGCGTGGTGGCTCATGCCTGTAATCCCAGCACTTTGGGAGCCTGAGGCAGGCGGATCACCTGAGGTTGGAAGTTCGAGACCAGCCTGACCAACATGGAGACACCCCATCTCTACTAAAAATACAAAATTAGCCAGGCGTGGTGATGCATGCCTATAATCCCAGCTACTCGGGAGGCTGAGGCAGGAGAATCGCTTGTACCCGAGAGGCGGAGTTTGTGGTGAGCCGAGATTGCACCATTGCACTCCAGCCTGAGTAACAGGAGTGAAACTCCGTCTCAAAAAAAAAAGAAAGAAATTTCTTCCACCAGATACCCTAAATCATCTCTCTCAAATTCAAAGTTCCACATATCTCTAGGGCAGGGGCAAAATGCTGCCAATCTCTTTGCATAGCAAGAGTGGCCTTTACTCCACTTCCCAACAAGTTCCTCATCTCCATCTGAGACCACCTCAGCCTGGACCTTATTGTCCATATCACCGTAAGCAATTTGGTCAAAGCCATTCAACAAGTCTCTAGGAAGTTCCAAACTTCCCCACATCTTCCTGTCTTCTGAGCCCTCCAAGTCTCTAGGAAGTTCCAAACTTCCCCACATTTTCCTGCCTTCTTCTGAGCCCTCCAAACTGTTCCAAGTTCTGCCTGTTACTCAGTTCCAAAGTTGCTTGCACATTTTCAGATATCTTTACGGCAGCATCCCACTCTCAGTACCAATTTACTGTATTAATCTGTTTTCATGCTGCTGATCAAGACATACCCAAAACTCGGTAATTTATATTAATGGACTCACAGTTCCACATACCTGAGGAAGCCTCACAATCGTGGCAGAAGGTGAAAGGCACATCTTACACAGTGGCAGACAAGAGAGAGAATGATCAGGGAAACTCCCCTTTATAAAACCATAGATCACGTGAGACTTATTCACTACCATGAAAACAGCACAGGAAAGACCTGCTCCCACGATTCAATTATCTCCCACTGGGTCCCTCCCAGAACACATGGGAATTATGGGAGCTAACATTCAAGATGAGATTTGGGTGGGGACACAGCCAAACCATATCGTAAGCACAGTAAGTCTCAGGATACAGGATCAGTATACAAAAATCAATTGCACTTCTATGTATAAACAATGAACAATCTGAAAAAGATATTAAGGATACAATTCCTTGCACAACAGCAACAAAAAATAAAATACTTAGGAATAAATTTAACAAAAGAAGTATAAGATTTTTACACTGAAAATTATAAAACATTGCTGAGGGAAATTTTAAAAATCTATATAATTTTAGAGACATTTCATGTTCATGGATCGGAAAATTCAGTGTTGACAAGATGACTATTCTTCCCAAACTGAATAGTTTCCATGCAATTCCTATCAAAATTCCAGCATGCATTTTTGCAGAACTTAACAATATGATCCTAAAATTTATATGGACTTATAAAAGACCATGAATAGCCAAATAAATTTTGAAAAAGAAGAGCAAATTTGGAGGACTTTAATTTCCTAACTTCAAAACTTACTGTAAAGCTATAATACAATTATGAAGACAGTGTGGTCTGGTATGAGAACAGATGTATGGATCCACAGAACAGAGCTGACCATCCAGACAATAAATTCTTTTATTTACATTCAATTTACTTTCAACAAAAGTGCCAAGAGAGTGCCTTGGGTAAAGGATAGCCCTATTAACCAATAGTGGTGAGACAATTTGGTATCCACATGCAAAAAGATGAGCTTTAACCCCCACCTCATTCCATACACAAAAATTAACTCAAAGTGGATCACAGACTTACACGTAAGAGCTAAAACAATATGACTTTTAGAAGATGACATAGGAGAAAACCCTCAAGGCCTTGGGCAAGGCAAAAATTTCTTAGATATAACACCAAAAGCAAAAAACAAAAGAAAAAAATTGATAAATTTGACTTCATCAAAATCAAAAAACTCTTATGCCCCAAAAGACATAGACAAACAACAGACTGAGAAAATATCTGCACAACACGTATCTGATAGTGACTTGTATCTAGAATATACAAAGAATGCTCATACTTGATAAGCAAGCCCATCAAAAACCATGGACAAAGATTTAAATGGATATTTCACCAAAGAAGGTGTATGAATGTCTAATAAGCAAAGCACATGAAAAGATGCTCATTGTATTAGTCATTAGGAAAACACAAAGCAAAAGCACAATGAGACACCATTTCACATGCAGCACAATGGCTATAATAAAATATACAGTAACAAATGTCAAGAATGTGGAGAAATGGGAACACTTATACATCGCTACTAGGGACATAAAATGGTGAAGCCAACTTGAAAAACAGTTTGGCAGCTTCTTAACAAGTTATACATCAATTTTTCATATGATCCAGCAAATTCCACTCTTAGGTATCTACCCAAGAGAAACAAAAATATATTGAAATGGCCTCATTTTCTGGGGTGCCACCTGAAGTTCTTTGTCTCACAGCCGAGGAAATCAAGGACACATACATGCCAAGGGTGAGGTTACAGCAGAAGTTTAATAAGGGAAAGAAAGAGAGAAAGCTCTCTGCCACAGAGAGGGGTCCTAAAAAAGGGTTGCTGTTTCACAGCTGAGTACAGAGGCTTTAAAAGAAACCAATGAGAGCTGCATGTCTCATTTGCATAAGGCATGTATTTCTGGTAGCTCCACCCCATCCTCCTGAGAGACAGGACTACCTGGATTTCCTAGGCCGATTAAGAATCCCTAAGCCTAGCTGGGAAGGTGACCACATCCGCCTTTAAACAAGGGTCTTGCAACTTAGCTCGTACTCGACCAATCAGGTAGTAAAGAGAGCTCACTAAAATGCTAATCAGGCAAAAACAGAAGGTAAAGAAATAGCCAATCTTCTATCGCCTCAGAGCACAGCGGGAGGGACAATGATTGGGATATAAACCAGGCATTCGAGCCAGCAATGGCTACCCACTTTGGGTCCCCTCCCTTTGTATGGGAGCTCTGTTTTCACCCTATTAAATCTTGCAACTGCACGCTGTTTTGGTCCATGTTTGTTATGGCTCGAGCTGAGCTTTCGCTTGCCATCCACAACTGCCATTTGCCACCATTGCAGACCCGCCGCTGACTTCCACCCCTCTGGATCTGGCAGGGTGTCCGCTGTGCTCCTGATCCAGTGAGGCGCCCATTGCTGCTCCCGATTGGGCTAAAGACTTGCCATTGTTCCTGCATGGCTAAGTGCCTGGGTTTGTCCTAATCGAGCTAAACACTAGTCGCTGGATGCCACGGTTCTCTTCCATGACCCATGGCTTCTAATAGAGCTATAACATTCACCACATGGCCCAAGATTCCATTCCTTGGAATCCGTGAGGCCAAGAACCCCAGGTCAGAGAATAAGAGGCTTGCTGCCATCTTGGAAGTGGCCTGCCACCATCTTGGGAGCTCTGGGAGCAAGGTCCCCCCACAGTAACATTTTGACAACCATGTAAGGACCTCCAAAGCGGTGAGTAACATTGGACCACTTTCACTTGCTATTCTGTACTATCCTTCCTTAGAACTGGAGGAAAATATCAGGCACCCATCAGCCTGTTAAAAACGATTAGCGTGGCCGTGGGACTTAAGACTCAGGTGTGAGGCTGTCTGGGGAAGGGCTTTCTAACAACCCCCAACCCTTCTGGGTTGGGAGTGTTGGTCTGCCTAAAACCAGCTTCCACTTTCAATTTTCCTGGGGAAGCCAAGGGCCGACTAGAGGCAGAAAGCTGTCGTTCTGAACTCCCGGCATTAACCAGTTGAGATCATGGTGCAGCCAGAAGTCTCTATTCAACAGTCGCCCATGTGTGCGCCCCTACCTTTCCTTCTGACCCATACCTCCTGGGTCCCAACCACAACTTTCTTGAAAGTGTAGCCCCAAAATTCTCCTTACCTCTGAATCTACTTCCTCCAATCCCTGCCTCCTAGGTAATAATGGTTCAGACTTTCATTTCCTCTAGCAAGTTGTATTTCCAAAGGGATCTAAGGAAGCTCTACTCTGCATCCATAGGCCCCTAGGCTATGAACCCAGAGAGTCTTGTCCCTGTTGTCCCTCCCAATTTAGGCATACAGCTCTCAACATAGGCAGTTATATGGGACCTGTTCCCCACCACCCTTGCCAGGCCCCCATGTTTGTAAAGGGCTAGGAGAAAAGAGAGAGAGAGAGAGAGAGACAGAGGGGAGAGAGAGAGAGAGACAAGGAGGGAGTCAAAGAGAGAAAGAAAGAGAAAGATAGAAGTAGTAAAGAAAAAAGTGTGCCCTATTCCTTTAAAAGCCAGAGTAAATTTAAAACTTATAATTGATAATTGAAGGTCTTCTCCATGACCCTATAACACTCCAATACTACCTTGTTGTCAGTGAAAACAAGGGCATAGCCTGAAAACACTGAGACCACTGACAACCCGTAGCCTTCCTATCAAAAATCCTTAACCCAGTAACCCGCGGATGACCCAAATGCATTCAGTCTGTAGCAGCAACCGCTTTGCTAACAGAAGAAAGTAGAAAAATAACTTTTAGAGGAAACCTCATTGTGAGCACACCTCACCAGTTCAGAATTATCCTTAGTCAAAAAAGCAAAAAGGTAGCTTACTAACTCAAATCTTAAAGTATGAGGCTATTCTGTTAGAAAAAGGTGACTTAACATTAACCACTGAAAATTCCCTTAACCCAGCAGGTTTCCTAACAGGAGATTTAAATATTAATTACTAATCAAAGGTCTGACCAGACCTAGGAGGAACTCCCTTCAGGACAAGGATAGATGGTTCCTCCCAGGTGATTGAGAAAAAAAAACCACAATGGATATTCAGTAATTGATAGGGAGACTCTTGTGGAAGCAGAGTTAGAAGAATTGCCTAATAATTGGTCTCCTCAAATGTTAGAGCTGTTTGCACTCAGCCAAGTCTTAAAGTACTTACAGAATCAAAAAACTCTATCTCAATCCTGACTCAAAAGGTTACCTACACCCTCTCTGAAACGAATTTGCACAAGAACTGTTGTTTATGGGAATGCATCCTGATGGGGCAACTGGGTTGTTATGAAATACTCAGGAACCCAGCCCTGCTCTAGGACTCATCCCTGAGCACAAAGGCAATGTTGGGCACACTGGTAAAGGACCATTCGAATCCAGCAGCCCAGACCCCTTTCTTTGTGGTCAAGAAATGTGGGAAAAAGGATGCAGGACTGCTACGTCGGTGAGCGTAACTAATCTGATAAGCAGAGGTCCATGGGTGATTATGCACCCTGGAAAGGAATAAGCATTAGGACCATAGAGGACGCTCTAGGACTAATGCTCATCAGGAAATGACTAGGGGTGCTGGCCTCCCAAGGTTGTCTTTTTTTTTCAGATGGGAAACATTCCCCCCAAGACAAAAACTACCCTAAGATGTATTCTGGAGAATTCAGCCTGGTCAGAGTGTATGTACCTTTTTCCCTGTCAGACTTGAAGCAAATTAAAATAGACCCAGGTAAATTCTCAGATAACTCTGATGGCTATATTGATGTTTTATAACGGTTAGGACAATCATCCTTTAATCTGACATGGAGAGATATAATGTTACTGCTAGATCAGACACTAACCCCAAATGAGAGAAGTGCCACCATAACTGCAGCCCGAGAGTTCAGCGATCTCTGGTATCTCAGTCAGATCAATGATAGAACGACAACAGAGGAAAGAGAACAATTCCCCACAGGCCAGCAGGCAGTTCCCAGTGTAGACCCTCATTGGGATGCAGAATTAGAACATGGAGATTGGTGCTGCAGACATTTACTAACTTGCGTGCTAGAAGGACTAAAGAAAACTAAGCAGCAGCCTATAAATTATTCAATGATGTCCACTATAACACAGGGAAAGGAAGAAAATCCTACTGCCTTTCTGGAGAGACTAAGGGAGGCATTGAGGAAGCATACCTCTTTGTCACCTGACTCTATTGAAGGCCAACTAATCTTAAAGGATAAATTTATCACTCAGTCAGCTGCAGACATTAAAAAAAAAACTTCAAAAGTCTACCTTAGGCCTGGAGCAAAACTTAGAAACCCTATTAAACTTGGCAACCTCGGTTTTTTATAATAGAGATCAGGAGGAACAGGTAGAACTGGACAAACGAGATAAGAAAAAGGCCACTGCTTTAGTCATGGCCCTCAGGCAAGCAGACTTTGGAGGCTCTGGAACACAGAAAGTCTGGGCAAATCGAATGCCTAATAGGGCTTGCTTCCAGTATGGTCTACAAGGACACTAAAAAAGATTGTCTGAATAGACATAAGCCGCCCCCTCATCCATGCCCCTTATGTCAAGGGAATCACTGGAAGGCCCACTGCCCCGGGGGACAAAGGTCCTCTGAGTCAGAAGCCACTAACCAGATGATCCAGCAGCAGGACTGAGGGTGCCGGGGGCAAGTGCCAGCCCATGCCATCACCCTCACAGAGCCCCCGGGTATGTTTGACCATTAAGGGCCAGGAGGTTAACTGTCTCCTGGACACTGGCGCGGCCTTCTCAGTCTTTCTCTCCTGTCCTGGACAACTGTCCTCCAGATCTGTCACTATCCGAGGGGTCCTAGGACAGGCAGTCACTAGATACTTCTCCCAGCCACTAAGTTGTGACTGGGGAACTTTACTGTTTTCACATGCCTTTCTAATTATGCCTGAAAGCCCCACTCCTTTGTTAGGGAGAGACATACTAGCAAAAGCAGGGGCCATTATACACTAGAATTAGGAGAAGGAAAAAGGGTAAATATATATATACAGACTCTAAGTATGCTTACCTAGTCCTCCATGCCCACGCAGCAATATGGAGAGAAAGGGAATTCCTAACTTCCAAAGGAACACCTATCACACATCAGGAAGCCATTAGGAGATTATTATTGGCTGTACAGAAACCTAAAGAGGTGGCAGTCTTACACTACCAGGCTCATCGGAAAGGAAAGGGAAATAGAAGGGAACAGCCAAGCAGATATTGAAGCCAAAGGAGCCTCAAGGTGAGACCCTCCGTTAGAAATGCTTATAGAAGGACCACTAGTATGGGGTAATCCCCTCTGGGAAACCAAGCCCCAGTACTCAGCAGAAGAAATAGAATGGGGAACCTCACAAGGACATAGTTTCCTCCCCTTAGGATGGCTAGCCACTGAAAAGGAAAAAATACTTTTGCTTATAGTTAACCAATGGAAATTACTTAAAATCCTTCACCAAACCTTTCACTTAGGCATTGATAGCACCCATCAGAGGGCCAAATCATTATTTACTGGACCAGGCCTTTTCAAAACTATCAAGTAGACAGTCAGGGCCTGTGAAGCATGCCAAAGAAATAATCCCCTGCACTTCAGGCCATACACTTCAATCCCTGTATCTTTAACCTCCTTGTTAAGTTTGTCTCTTCCAGAATGGAAACTGTAAAACTATAAATGGTTCTTCAAATGGAACCCCAGATGCAGTCCATAACTAAGATCTACTGCAGACCCCTGGACTGGCCTTCTAGCCCATGCTCCAATGTTAATGACATCGAAGGCACCCCTCCCAAGGAAATCTCAACTGCACAACTCCTACTATGCCCCAATTCAGCAGGAAGCAGTTAGAGTGGTCGTCGGCCAACCTCCCCAACAGCACTTGGGTTTTCTTGTTGAGAGGGGGTACTGAGAGACAGGACTAGCTGGATTTCCTAGGCCAACTAAGAATCCCTAAGCCTAGCTGGGAAGGTGACTGCATCCACCTTTAAACAAAGGGCTTGCAACTTAATTCACACTTGACCAATCATGTAGTAAAGAGAGCTCACTAAAATGCTGATTAGGCAAAAACAGAAGGTAAAGAAATAGCCAATCATCTATCGCCTCAGAGCACAGCGGGAGGGACAATGATCGGGATATAAACCCAGCATTCGAGCTGGCAACGGCTACCCCATTTGGGTCCCCTCCCTTTGTATGGGAGCTCTGTTTTCACTCTTAAATCTTGCAACTGCACACTGTTTTGGTCCATGTTTGTGTTACAGCTCGAGCTGAGCTTTTGCTCACCATCCACCACTGCTGTTTGCCGCCCTCGCATACCCGCCGCTGACTTCCACCCCTCCGGATCTGGCAGGGTGTCCGCTGTGCTCCCGATCCAGTGAGGCACCCATTGCCACTCCCGATCAGGCTAAAGGCTTGCCATTGTTCCTCCATGGCTAAGTGCCCAGGTTTGTCCTAATCGAGCTGAACCCTAGTCGCTGGGTTCCACAGTTCTCTGCCGTGACCCACGGCTTCTAATAGAGCTATAACACTCACTGCATGGCCCAAGATTCCATTCCTTGGAATCCATGAGGCCAAGAATCCCAGGTCAGAGAACAAGAGGCTTGCCGCTATCTTGGTAGCGGCCTGCCACCATCTTGAGAGCTCTGGGAGCAAGGACCCCCTGGTAACACTCCTAATGTGCATGTGGGTCCTTAGCTTGAGTTACTCCACATTGTTTTGTTCCCCTTACTGTGCACGTGTCAGGGGACAGAATTTTCCATTGCAGGCATGTCTAGACAAATCTCCTGTATAGCCGCTCTTATCTGTGAGGCTGTGGGCATGTCTCAGGCTAGCCCCACTGTGCAAGGTCTCTTATCTGTGCCTGCAGGCTGTTCTTTTGTCTGAAAGAACTCAACCCAGGACCCCCCTTAATTGCCTGCCTGATGGGTTTCTTCCTTCCTCCTCTCTCAATATGTCCAAAGACTTACACATAAACGTTGCTAGCAGTAGTATTCATAATTGCCAAAAATTAGAAACAATGTAAATGTCTACAAACTGGTGAATGAATAGACAAAATAAAGTATGCTCATATAATGGAATATTATTCAACAATAAAAATGATGTGATTCATGCTATGATTTTTGGTGAACTTCAAAATTGTTATGCTAAGTGGAAGAAAGCAGACACAGAGAATACATCTGATATGATTTTATTTATGTGAAAGGTCCAGAAAAAGCAAATAAATAGAGACAAAAAGTAGATGATGCTTGGCTTAATCAAGAGGGGGCAGAGATTAACAGTTGGGGTAATGGAAATATTCTAATATTCTAAATGGCAAAGGTTGCACACTTGGTAAACTTACTAAAAAATCTTTTTTTTTTTTTTTTGAGACAGGGTCTCACTTTGTCACCCAGGCTGGAGTGCAGTGGTGTAATCACAGCTCACTGCAGCCTTGACCTCCTGGGCTCAAGTGATCCTCCCACCTCAGGCTGTCAAGTAGCTGAGACCACAGGTGCATGTCACCCCAGGCTCAGCTAATTTTTTTATTATAAAAAATCTCTTAATTGTATACTTGGAATAAATTATATATGTAAAATGTGCTTCAATAAAGTAATGACTCTTCAAACAAACAAACAAACAAAAAACAGTAAAATGAGACCACACAGCTTTTGAAAACTAACCTACTTGAAAAAAAATGGTTTGGCAAGCACAGTGGCTCATGCTGTAATCTCAGCATTTTGGGAGGCCAAAGTGGGTGGATCACCTGAGGTCAGGAGTACAAAGCCAGCCTGGCCAACATGGTAAAACCCCAGTCTCTACAAAAAAAAAAAAAAAAAAAAAATTAGCCAGGAGTGGTGGCGGGCGCCTGTAATCCCAGCTACTCAGGAGGCTGAGGCAGGAGAATCCCTTGAACCCGGGATGTGGAGGTTGCAGTGAGCCAAGATCGCACCACTGCACTCAAGCCTGGGTGATAGAGTGAGACTCCATCTCAAAAAAATAAAATAAAATAAACATTTAAAAAATGGCTTATCATCTCACCAGTGAGTGTTGAGTGGGGATGGGGATGGGGTGGCTTACAGGGCCTGATGCCTTATGCAAAGATGTGTCTTCAAATGTAATTTATAATGTGTAATGCAAAGGACTGAGGGAAACTGGGCAAAATTCTTTTGACTATTGGGAATACTCAGAAGCGGGAGTGACAGAGCACAGACAACATGGATTAAAAGATGCTAAGAAGAGTGTTCCCATCTTGCCTGCTCTAAGGCAGAAGAGGATAAAGAGCAGCTTCCCCCGCAGCCCAAATCCCTGTGCACAGAGCCTGACCTGGCCAGCACAAGTCTCTGCTCTCCCCTCCAGCCTGGCAGAGAGCCAGACAGTGAATGTACACGGTGCATAAAACACTTGCCTTTGATGTTCTGAGGTTGTCACAGGGCGGGGGGTTGGGAGGGGCTGCGGGGAGGGCAGTATTCAGAAGAAAAGAAAAAAAAATCCCATTTTCTCAGGCAGAGAAAAATGGTCACATAACTTTGCAGTTAAAAGTTATTAGAAAAGTGGTGGTGAAGTGTGGTTACAGAAAATTAAATATTGATAAAAAGAGAAAAGTAGTTGTTGTGGGAAAAATTTTACTTCTTTGTACAAAAGAAGTCAATACCTGCTTGGATTTTAACACAGTTGCTTGCTTTAGGATTCCTTTTCCTGTCCTATTTCTTTCATGCAGTCTTGTGTGTTTGCTCCTTAAGGAAGGAAGCTCTGACCAGGCCTTGTGCTGCTGAGAGCTGGGCAACTGGACTCTAGTAGGCTTTCCCCACTCACCCCAAACCAGAGTAGCACTGGCTTAGCTTTAAGGAAACCATAAGTAAACGTTATAATTAAAGGTTAAGGTCTCCTTCCGTGGCTCGAAACCAGTGAGCAGAATTAGATGGCCTGTTCTTTAGCTCATCCCAGCCTGGGAGGCAGGAGGCAGCAGAGCAGTGGCTGAACAAACCAGAGGAATCCTCAATCCTGTAACTAGTGTGTGGGGCAAAGCCCTGGGATCTGTCTTTTCTGGTTTCCAGCACCACAAGCCATGCTATAAAAATGTGTTCAATGCAATTTGCATTCCGTCACACTACGCACTAAGGTCCAGTTAATATACTAAGAGTTGACATCCCACAGCAAACAGCCCTCATGCAGCAGGACGCTGGAAAGGACTTGTCAGTCTATAAAGATTTTGTTTAGGGCACTCCTATTTGGGATGGTGTAGACGGAACTGATGACTAATAAGAAAATACTACACAAAGAACACAGAGAAGGGTTGACATAAATAAGGACGAATCTCTCCAAGCTTCCATGCTAAGGGAACAAACTATTCAAGTTTGGCAGAAATAGATTTTGTCACTGACAGTGGACGGATCCTGATTCATAAGGTAATGTGTTCCCAACCCCAATTACCAGAACAAAAAAAGGAGTAAAACAATAATGCAGTCTTACTAGTTTTGAGGTTAGGGAGATAGGCCATTTGCTATGTCATTGAATAAGTGACTTAAAATTTTCTGAAACATCATCCCATGATGACAAAGACCACTCATTAAATCTGTGGCAAGGGAGATTAATTATTGGATGCCTATACGCCAGGTGCCTTACAAATGTTGCCTGGGCAACAGAAATGACCCTGTTATTAAACACACAGACATACACATGCAATTTTGATTATAAGAGCATAGTCTCACCATTTTTAAAAAACAGAAAATATATAAAAAGATTAAAAAATGGCCAATAATTCAGCCATTAAGAAGTTATTCTTTTATATAGGTATTTATAAGCATATATGTATTCACATTGTACTACATTCATGGATTCGTAAATTTGCTTTTGTCCTCAGTTGTAATATGAATATTTTGAATAAATATTGTTATACATATTTTGAGTAAATATTCCCCAAGAGCATTAGCTGACTGTGGCATCATCTTGTCATATAAATAATGTAATCATTCTCCTACTGTCAGACTTTTTTTTTCCAATGCTCCACTCTTTTAAACAGTTCTTTGCATGTAAAGGTATGTAAGTAGCACGCCATTCTGTTTTGCATCTCTTTGACTAATAGCAAAAATCATTAATTTGTTCTGTTATATTGGCCCTTTGTACTTTGGTGGTTTGTTCTGTGACTTCAGTAATGCTTCTTGTAATATTCACAAATAGTTCTAAGTCCATGGTCTCCTTTGCTTCCCCCTTGAATTCTTTACGAGCTCTGAAAGGCAGGAAAGCACTGTGTGCTCTGCTTTCCTTCCCTTAGTTGAAATTTTTCTTAGAATGAGAGTAGTCAGACCAAGGACCAGGGTTCTGAGTGCCCAGGTCTGGCCCAAACCCTTTCCCAAACACCTCCTGTGAGCTCTGACTAGTCCTGAATCTTTGAACCTGGTGGAGGCGGCCCCTGGCAGCAGGGAGTTTAGAGCATCTGTGTTTGCATCTCAGCAAAACTCTGGAACACAATTTAAGAAACCATTTGCATTAACAATCCATCACAACTCCTATTACTTTTGTTTTTCATTGCAATTCACATTTGCACTTGACCTACTATAAATGCAAAACCTCAGCTAAAACTTGTGAAAATTTTTTAAATTCCTGATAATTCAGAAGTATTTTGAACTGATACGTGCTTAAAAAGGCCTCAGGTTCGTGGAATGTATCGTTACCACTACAGGTTATGTGATAGTGGCCTAGTTTTTATTTAGCTGTAATTAAAAAGAAATCCTAACACACATGCACATTTGTCAAGGATGAATGGTTTTGGAAGCGAGTTCACCTGTGGTCCCAAACGTCCCCTTCCTGCCCACTGGCTCTCTTACAGTGCTTTGTTTGGGATCCTTCTTGTCATGTTGCAATTTGATCTCTTCAATCGCAGGGTCTCCGTCTCATCCACCTCCTGCCACGAGACAGAAACGAGGGCTGTGCACAAAACAAGCATTTCAACCATGTTTCTTGTGGGGAATAGTTACCTTTCACTTTAGTAGACTGATATTTCAGGTATACTTTTGCTGCAGAAAGCATTTGTTCTGTAATCACTTAAAGTATTACCAAAGGATTATTCATACTCAAAATGGGTGTCTGAATGAATTCATGTGAGGATTAAGGAGTGGGTTGTTTTGAGATCTGGAAAGTAGCAATACCATTTTTCAGGTTGAGAAACCAGAGAAGTGCCTGTGAGGAACTGTTTCTTCCTCTCTGATTTTTGCACAGAAAAGATGCTAATTTGAGGGCTGTGTGCATGGGTGGGTGGGAGAATTCATCAGTGAGGAAAAGGCTTCTCTGGATGACCTAAATTCCTCCTTAGAGACTCCATGGCAAGAAATGGTAGGAAACCAGCAACAACATGAATGAAACTGGAGGTCATTATGTGAAATAAGCCACATACAGGAAGACAAATGTTGCACATTCTCACTCATGTGGAAGATAAAAAAGAAATGATCTAACAGAGGTAGAGAGTAGAATAGTGGTTACCAAAGGCTGGAAAGGGTGGTGGGGAGGTGGGATAAAGAGGGGATGGTTAATGGGTACAAAAATACAGTTAGAATGAATAGGACCTAGTGTTCAGTAGCACAGTACAGTGACCATAGTTAACAATAATTTATTGTATATTTCAAAATAACCAGAAGAGTAGTATTGAAATATTCCTAGCACAAAGAAATAAATGAGGCAATGGATATCCCAATTACACAGATTATAGTGTATGCTTGTATCGAAATAACAGGTATTTAATAAATATGTATAATTATTATATATCCATAAAAATTAAAAATTAAAATAGAAACTGAAAACATCAAGTAGACCATATTATATTTGATCTATCCAAGAGAATGGGATGGAAGGAAAAGCCCGGACATGAATTTGAATGTTAAAGGTAGACTTCAGAAAGCAACATCTTATGGGTTGAGGTTCTAAAAGGGACAGTGGCCTTAGGATAGTCGAGAAGTCTTAAAATCAAATTCCAAGAACCTAAAGTAGAAAGCAGAGTATTTAATAGTGGCTAAAGAGGAAGTTCGTTCTTGGATAAAATAATAAAAGGCCAGGTTTTCTAGGGAAATGAAGGCATGCAACCAAACAAGAATAAACATAATATAGAATCCAAGAGGAGAATAGTGCAAGGGAGTTAAAGCCCAGAATGAAATGAAACTGAAGAGGAAACGTCAAAAGAGACTGGTAGGTTCAAAGGAAGATAATAAACAGGGAATGCAAGGGAAGGGCTCAGTGCTGCAATGGATCGGATGATGTTAAAAATCCCCTAGGGTTCCTAAGCTCCATAAGGCAGAACCTGTATCATCGTTACCTTTGTACACCCTGCAGCCAGCACAGCAAGTGACACAGGTAAGACATCCCATCAAACTTACTTAAACCAAGTTAACAGAGGAAGAAGTCAATTCTTTAACTCATGCTTGTCTTTTCTGTAGGGATAAAATATTTTCACAATGGAAAACGCGCAATCAACAGCATAAATGAAGAAACTGAAATGACTACACTTAATGACAAAATTAAAAGGGAAAATTTTTAGTATAAGAAAGTACTTGCTAATGATAGATGCAGAAGGCCAATAAGGGGGAGGGTCCTCAGAGAATCTCCAACCAGCTTGTGCACTGGGAGAACTGGGTGGAGCCACGGGAAGTTCCAGCCTTGGGCAGGAGGGAAGAGCCTGAGCTCTTCAGCTCACATGTGTGGTGGCCTGGAACTTATCTGTGAGGTGGGGGCCTGTTAGCAGGATTCCCCCCTTGCTTTGCTGAGTTTTTTTTTCCTTTTTGCCCAATGAATTCCATTCCCCACACACTTCAATGTGTCCATGTGTCTACATTTTCCTGGTCCTGACACAAGAACCCCGATTTAGCCGACCTAAGGAGCAAAATTCTGCAACACTAAGAACTCAGATGGCCTTAAAGTTCATACAGGTGTCTTAAGAGGTAATAAGTGCTATTATCAAACTATTAATAAAATTTCCCTCCTTTCCCAGAATTCGTGTAAACATTTTGGATTAATAACATACCACTGCATCAACTTTTTTGTCTCTTATTACGGGACTATCGCATCTGACTAAACTGTAAAACTGAAAAAATATATATTCCTTACTCCTTTTGTTCCTAAAAATTATGTAAAATTTCACTAAACACCTTTCTTGCCTCAAGCTATTTTGTATACTGCTTAAAAACAATGACAAAATAATTAAAATTACAAGTGTTTTCTTCCTTGTACAGCATTCTAAATCCAAGGTGCTAATGTTTCTTGAAATGTCCATTAACCATTATCCCAATATTCTAAGATAAAGCAGGTATTTTATTACAATGGAAACGAAAGTACTAGATCTCTTACAGAATTTGTGAAGACACAACAACAAAATACTGATCAACTCCTACTCAATCAGGGCTTGGGGTGTCAAGATGTGTGTGAAGGCAGCATGTAAAATAAAGTATCAGAGTTGGGAAAAACATAAGCAAATGAACAGTATCT
The DNA here is from genome assembly GCF_000001405.40 of Homo sapiens. Classification (NCBI taxonomy): domain Eukaryota; kingdom Metazoa; phylum Chordata; class Mammalia; order Primates; family Hominidae; genus Homo; species Homo sapiens. The sequence continues at coordinate 84,518,591 of NC_000010.11, read as the reverse complement.
TAGATCTTTGTGGGAAAAAAGATATCAAAGAAAAAGCAAACTATGGGAGTCAATGTTGAGAAAGACAAGAGAACTTTTATAATTATGAACTTTATTTTTATTTACTATGCCAACATTTTCAGGAGAGACTTTACATCTGCTTTTTAGAATTCATTTTACAGGCAAATTCTAATATACAGTTTGTACTCTAAACTGACTTAAAATCAATGGGAAAAACAATACTGCAGATATTATTTTTGCTCTTTGTTAGTAATGACTTAGAGACCTTACATTCTCGGGTATTATTTTGTTAAGTAAACGCTTTACCAAGGAGAAAGTGGGTAAGCTTATTCCCAACAAGATTAAAACATGTATCTTCAGTTAATGACATAGTTGTAGATTGGTGCCCACCATCAGAATCATTTAATCAAAAGTACTCTCTCAAATTGCTGCAGCAAAAACTTAAAGGGAGATGTGAAAAATCACTAGAAAATAGAATTCAAGCATCAGAATTTAAAAAGGAACAAGGCCATCATCCCCAAGGAAAAACATCGGGTAGTACAGCTATAATTAATTTTCAAATGTGTGCTTAAGCATGCAAACATAACCACCCAAACGAATTTAAAAACACAAAAACTACTGGGTAAGATGGAAAGTAAATTGAAATGGTGCTGCAGCCTTATTGATCTTAATTGCAAGCCTGTTCGGTGATTTCAAAGTACATCCCCAGTGCCCTAGAGACCAGGAAACCAGTATGACAACTCTGCTCAGAAACCAAGAGTGCACCTCAGTGTCTGTAACACCATTTATGCTACAGGAACATTTGGAAGTGACAGCTGTAGGGGGATCACGCTCTCTCTGATGTACTGAGAAAAAAGTAAAATACTTATCGGAACAATGGAACATTCAAAGAAAACTTAGTGCTTTAATGGAAAAGTGACATGCTGGGAATATATTTCTGTGAACAGCTGTACTGATATCTTCAAACAGCAACAATTACAAATTTATTTCAACAAAGCCACACCCAATAGGAGGCAATTCGATATTTCAGGCACAACTTCAAGCAATTAAGCTCATTTAAAGTGCAAATCTGATATTTTCTTTCATATTCAGATTTTTACTTGTTAAAGTACTTAGTAAATTCTAATATATATATAAATACAATGAACAGTAGCCTATATGCCTGAAAATATTGCACAAATAAAAATGAGACTCCAAAAGAAAAATGTTAGATGGTCTCAGTTATTAGAAACAGTCTAAATGACATAACTCTATAATCCTTTAATGCCTTAAAATCATCTGCACCTGTACCAATAAACTCCTTAGGCCAAGCCTTCTTTTAAAAATTTGATATGCATCCCATTAACAGCCAAATATCAAAGTCTGAATACTCTACTAATTTCCTCTTTCACGAATGTGAAACTTAACAAACCCCATAAAATTTCTTCCTCAGGACTTAGAATTCATATACTGTAACTATCTTCATTGATACCACTAGAACTAAGACAATAAATGGTTTGTGGAGGAGGATTTGGCACAGAGTTGATTTACATTAATAGAAGCAATAAACACAGATCAAGCCAAATCTAAGATGATCTTTGATTATTCAGTAGAGTTACATCCTCACTTCCATTTCAGACTTAACATTTACTAAGAAGCAGACAAGCATGATATTCTTGCAGTTTTTAATGAAAACTGCAGGCAAATACTTTATGTCATGCAAGCATCCTAGATTTGTTTTCTTTTAATATATTATGCTTCATAAATATACGATAAGCCTATCTTCTAAAAGATTAAGACTCAACAAAGGTAGAGAAAAGTTGAGCTAATTGGTTAACATTTCTGCAAATCCATCAGGGAAGGAAAAAATAGAGAAAAATGGAGTAAATACATGGAGGAAAAAATAGAGAAAAATAAATTACTGGAGTCAACATTTTTATGTAATGGACAATAAAGACATTTCCCTCAGACTAGGGAATTAAAAATAAATTTAAAAATTTAGAACTTTTCCCTTAAGGATAAGGCCAACTCGTAAATAATGTTTCATAAGGGTCTAAACCAACTTCTAAATAAACCAAAAACCACTAAGTCACTGGTTTTACTTTAGGGGAATATAGTATGATTCACATATTTGCAACATGTGAGAACGGTTTTCTTTCTCCTTCAAAATGATAGAACATGTATGCCCACTTACAACTGCAGCCATCATGGGTCATCTCCATAACAAAGTGCTTTGCTGATTTGCCTGACTCTAACAGTATCTGGACTATGTGAAGAACGTTCTGAACTTCACTGCTTCTCCATCAGAAGTGCTGGTACATAAGAGTATGGTACAAGATTTGTCTTGCTCACCTCTTACCAAATCCAAGAATGGTTTCTATCCAGTGAATGGCAAATTCATCTGATAGGTAAGGGAATAATGGGTCAAAATGGTAGCAAACACTTCTTTCAAATTTCTACTAAAAGACTTGCTGTTGTTTTTCTTATAAAGGGGCAATTTCATCAACATACATCTTTTAAAGGAATCTCTAGAAATTTGAGTGACTTTTTGGCCATAATCCTGTTTGATATATTTTTGGTCAGCTGCTCAAAACAAACATTCTCCTTGTAAGGTTATCTATCTGAAAGATACTAATTCATTTAAAGCAGCTGCAGGTGAACAACCTAAAGATGACATGATTTGGGAGAAGAGGAAGGCAGATTTACTGAACTGACAAGTGACCCAAAGCATAATTAGGTTTGTGCACATGGTAGCATGGAGGTTCCACACCTACCTTCTACAGCGTATTAAAATAAGAATATTGTCTTTGAAACATCTTCTAGCACCTTTTTAATAAAACAAAATTTCCCATCTTCAATTCTATTTTTTTCCCAAATCTACCTTTAAAAAATTGTCTTTCAAAAATACACCATAGACGAGGTGGGTGGATCACTTGAGGTCAGGAGTTCGAGACCAGCCTGACCAACAAGGTGAAATCTCATCTCTACTAAAAATACAAAAAAATTAGCCAGGCATGGTGGCACATGCCTGTAGTCCCAGCTACTCAGGAGGCTGAGGCAGGAGAATCGCTTGAACCCGGGAGGCAGAAGTTGCAGTGAGCCGAGATTGCGCCACTGTAATCCAGCCTGGGCAATGGAGCAAGACTCTGTCTCAAAAAACAAACAGAAAAAAACAAAAAACACAGAAAAGGGAAACCTAGGAGACTGGAGATGGGGGAGGGGGAGAATATTATGAACTCCAGCTTTCTCAAGATAGTCTTATTTAAATTTGTTATTTTTCTCAAAATATTTTAACTTGTTTTGCTATAGAAAATAGTTTACAATCCCTATATATGGTATATTTATACCCCATCAAAGTTTTGTGCAAATGTTTCAAGTTCATTATTTCAGTCTTCAGATATTAGCAGAAAATCAATAAATATAAATATTACAATTAAAGACATAATGCTGTGGAACCTTAAAATGGCTATCATGGATCCACAAGCCTAAGGGTTCAAGCCTGAATTACCAGCAAAACTCTAGCACCAACATATGTTACAAATGAATACATCTTTAGGTACAGGTTTCAAGGTGTATCTCAAGCGCTCCAAAATTTACCCAGTAACAAATACAAACATAAATGGTATGTGTGTGTATATGTGTGTGTGCATGCACATGTGTTTGTAAAACAAGATGTAAAGGAATATATAACTGATTTATATGTAATAAGAAACACTTTCAGTCTGGGGAATTTGGGAAATGAATCAACAGTAACATTAGCTGACTGACCCTGGCAAGGAAAAATAAAACTTACATAGACTTTCCATTAAAAGCCTAATCTCCTTTATTCATCACAAAGCTTTTGCATAGACCTTTTAAATATACAAAACACTGGCCAGAACTCTGCTTACAGACTACCATCTTCCATTATCACCATATCTTTAGTTAAAATAGTAGCCATATTCACAGGAGAGACAAGTGAAAAGGGGTGAGGTTCTGACAACCACAATAAATACAGACCTTAATAGGACTAAACCAGCAAAGCACACTTCTTGCCTGCTCAGTAAAATATTATGAATTTTCTGACGTGGAGAGGGATGGATAACATGATTTGGGCCTTTGGCAGGCCTCTGAAATGGGTAAGCAAACTTTCGTGTTTACCTGAGATAATTATGCTCAAATGGCATGTACTTCAACCAGGATATAAAATGAAGGAGCCAAACTAGTAGAAGCTTCCACATTTTAATTTAAGATTTGCAGGCTTTCAATGGAACCTCCACCACAGTAGCAAGCTGCAAGCTGCACATAAAGCTATTACAGAAGAGATTGTTTTTAAGAAACAAATTGGCAGGTGATGGCTATGTACTTAATGTATCTTTGGTTTAGGAAGACGAGAATATCGATTAGAGGCCAAACAATCCCCAGAATGCAAATTGCCATTTGGATTCTGCATGATTTCTTTTCGTTGTGTTAGTGGCCTTGGGATGCTTGTCTTGGCCTGGAAGCTTTGAGGCTCTAGTTGGGGGCTGTTTGTTTGTTTTTGTTTGAAAGAGCCTGAGGGGGGGCGGAGCTTAGATGCTTTCAGATTCTGATTATTTGCAAGATTTGTTTGACTAGATGTTGGCTGAAGTTTTGCTGAATTACATGTTGTGATTATTGGTGACTTTTTACAAGTGGGAGTCCTACTTGGAGATGATTCAGAAACTGGAGGCGGTACCAAAGAACTCAATATGGATGGCTTTAAAAGCTGCAAGGACTTGGGCTGAGACATATAACCCACTGGCGGAGACTGATTTCTTCCAACTCTCTTAGCCTGGTCTACTGTACTTGACTCGGGAGGTGTCTGAAGAGAAGTGGGTATAAACTGCATGTCACTAATTTGATTGTTTGCCAAATGATAAGGCTCTTGAGCATTTACAGTAATGTTTAAGTTTGCTTCAGAAGGTGTACTCTTAGCCACATCCATTGTTAATTGTGGGCCTGATGAAAAAGGCTGCTCTTCCAAACCATAGTTGCTTTCTTGGTGCAAGACGTGTGTAAAGCTTTCTTCCGGATGTGCACCGCCCTGATGCATGTCTTGGATTGAGCATTCACTGCGGGCCTCGATACGTTGTGGCTTTATTAGTTTTCCCTGGGTGTGATCTGTGGGTCTGGGAAGGCTGCTGGAAGGCTGTAGTACTTGAGGCTGTTAAAATTAAAAACAACATTAGCAGCAAGTTCTTAGAAATTCCACCCAGATTTAATATAAATACCAATTAGGCTGTGTTGGTACTTATTATGGCTTTAATATGGAAAATATGTGGAGTTTCTTTTAATTAAAAAATGAACTGCAATATTCAAGCAAATTAGACACATACAAGAGTGATAATGCAAACAAAAAATGATACAGGCAGTAAACACTGAACAAGATCCAAAATTAAATGAGAAAAAGAAAACATTAAAGTACTAATTTATTATAGAAAAAATTCCTGCCATAATAGATTCATTAGGTATTTTAAACCTTAGAGCTTGACAGAATGATTCTACAGCTTTTGGTTTAACCTCCACAAAACATTCAGGTGTTAACGGTGACCTTCGGAATACTACTTACATTAAAGTTAAAAAAAAAAGTTGTACACCATGTTAACAAGTGTTGTTCTTCTGTCAAGAATGAAAAGCACCAGCAGATAAACAAGATTTAGAGTAAATCACTATATTCTCAGTTTATGTGAAATTCTATTTATTTAACAAATATAGGTCGAGACATTTAGCTAATGCTAACCTATTTTTAATATTCTTGTTGAAAAGTTTCCAAATAAAATGTTTCAAAGTTTATTTGTTCTGTCTCACTCCTATTATGGCTGACATGTGAAAAACAGATCTACCCTAATGAAAAGTAAACATTCATTTACTTAAATTTAGAATAATCAGCCTTTTGAATGATGGCTCAGAGTAAAACAAATGTGAAGTTGCCTCTAACTGCAACTAAAGAACAGAAGCCTATGACAAGGTTCTTAGGGTCTGTGTGCCTCACATGTACTTCCCTGAAGCTCATTGTGTAGTTATGTTTCAAAAACAATCAGAGGAACTATGCCATTTCCATGATTTGGGGGTATCCAGTAAAAAATACAAATCTGAAAGCTATCTTTCAATGGCCCAAATAGTTAAAATATATGGGCAGGGCCAACTGGGCCTGTCCTGATACAGGGGTATTTGCTACAAATGCATTATCTCTCTCCTCTCTCTCTCTCTCTCTCTCACACACACACACACACACACACACACACTGTTTAAATAATGTGGGCTAAAATGTCAAAAACTTTGGCAAAGGGCTTTACAACATGAAATTCAGAGGGCCATTTCTCACTAATAAGTTTTTTTTGCTATGCTAATCCACAAATAAATCTACATAGTAGCTCTAATTTCCCCAATAGAAGGGGCGGATCTATTTATACTGCATCATTTGTGTTTTTTTCAGTTCTTCCACCTCCCTGACCAGCACTGGACAATGGCTGCCCAGGATCAGCAGCCAGGGATTAGATTATGGCTGGATTGGGAGTGACTGAGGGCAAGGCTCATCAACTCATGGAGGATGGTTGGCTATGATGGCATACAGCTGACTTGCATTAAAAAAAAATCAAGACAGTGACTACTCAAAATTAATCTGTACAGAAATATGTCACATCAAATCGTATTGCAGAATGTTTGAAATAAACAAGTCAGCTCAATTGCTGCCTCAAGCTAAATATCCCAGACTTTAAAGTCACTGGGTATTTTCACAGCACATCAACACAAAAATGAATGAACTGTCCCGCAAAACGGAAGATACTAAAATCACCACATAATTAAATCAACAGATTCTCCCTGGGGTTCCCTAGATAAAAATGACCGTGCCAAAGTGATCAAAAACCTTGAAAGATTAGTGAAAAAATAGAGCAGGACCATATTAAACAAACCAAAATCTACCAAAGGGAATAAAAAGTAATTAGGAAGGAGGCACGATCAATTGGTTGGTTGAATGGGGATTTGTTTTTCCTTTTCACCCTCAAACATGGTAAGATATTCTAGTTCCAAGTTAAAACTCTTAAAGCAATTTAAGACTTCTGAAAATATCAGTGACAATTTAAAAATGGACTTTATTGTAATATGTCTATTGCCAATAAGAAAAAAGGTATAAACATGTGCTATCAGTGAAAAGCATAAAAAGATGATTTTTCAATTAAGACAGGTAATAAACTGATTATTAAGACAACCTACCTCCAGAAATGCCCAGGAAAGGGCCATTGTGCACTATAAATTTGTACTGTTTTGTACTCACCACTTGTACTGTTTTGATTACTCACAGTACCCAACTGACCACTGCTTATCAGAGAAATAAACGGAAATACAGCAGAGTCAGAAAGACAAGCTACTTGTATTAAATGCAATAAAGCTTCATATCAAATATTAATGAATTAGAAAACATCCAGTTTTTAAAGAATAACAAAATGTTGAGTCAACCGAGAGGAATTTAACAGTTTTATAAATAAATGTCTAAACTACAAGTTAGACATCTATACTACTAGTGAATTACATTAACTAAATCAGTGGTTTCTATATGCGAAATAAAATTTTATATTTTTATTAAAAATTAATTTTTGTGGCATGATATAATTTCCCTATCCCCAAATCAGTGTCTTGCTTTATTATTTATTTGGTAACTATATTTGGAAAATCAATTCCACTACTGTAAAAACAAAAAGTCTCTTTCACGAGGAATAAGAAACACCTATAATGTGAGGAACAAGGAAACAACTTGCTCCTGGTATGTGGAAGACTACATGGAAGTGGTTACCCACTAAGGACTGGATTGCCGCTAATTACCCCTGCTAGCAAGTTGAACAACAAGCTACCTCTTAACCTCTAGCAAGCAAGGCAGAGATGTGTTCTGATGGCTTGTTGCTACAATTTCCCCAAATACTAAACATTCAACTGTGTTCATATAAATGCCAGATGTTAATTCATCTTGCTCACATCCACTGCTGCTTCTATGGTCATTAAAAGGATGCCCTCAGACATTTTTAGAATGTAAATATAAAAAGATCCCATATCCTCATGGCTAAGACAAATAGGAATGAATATCAAAAAGCATACACTTTTTAAATGTTTATTATGTATCATGTACTGTACTAGGAGTGAGAAAATCTGGAGCTGAACATAACTTTGTTCCTGTGCTTGAGGAGCTTAGTGAGGGAGACAATAAGGTAAAGGAATGGTGAGATCATGTCTTAAGCGTAACAACATATGGGAACAAAAAGAAAACATGCCTGCCTGGAGAGGTCACAGGAGGCATTCCAGAACCGCGAACAATCTGCCCTGAGTTTTAACAGGGTGAATAGGAGTTTATCAAATAAACAAGAAGGGAAGAATATTCTGTGTAATGAGCTAGTACATGCCAAACACAGAGGCAAAAAAAGAACATGCCATGTTCTGGTCACTTCAAATTTTAGACTGAATTTGAAAGGATAGTGCAAAAGCATAGCTAAGGGCCAGCTCCTAGGACTCATGTCAGGCTAAGTAGCTATGACTTTGTGCTGTAGATGATGGGAGATATAGATGAATTTTAAGAAGAGGAATCAGAATATCTAATGTGTGTGTTTTAGAATGATCACTCCAGTGGAACCAGTGAGGAATGTAACCAGTGGGGACGAAATTGTCAGAAAAACCATATCACAAGCTATTTGGCATAAAATCTGGAGAGGACTGAAAAAGATTTGAAGGGGACAGGCAAGATGAGGTATTGGCTTGTATCCAAAAAAGGCCTTTGGGAAGGCTTTCCGCTAATCGATGGATTTCATAGCCTCGGAAGCCCACAAAACCTAGAGGGCAAAAGGAATCCCCCCACTACGAAAGATCTCATATCTTAACTACTCCCTATAGTCACAAATGAGTAAAACTTTAATCCTGAAACTTGTGGAGGGCTTGGTTACTGAAGCATCAAAATGAGGACCTATCCCCAGACTTACAGAGCTAAGTGCCTCTAACTGAACTCAGCAACTTCAAGTCTTACTTTAGTTATACATGTAAACTTCAGCACACCATTCTGATAATTCTCAGATTAAAGAGTTCCATGCGTCAAGTTCAATAATGTCAGCAATAGGCACTACAGGGGGGTTGTGCAAAGGCTTGGTAGACATCTTTAATGATAATTGTAAATGTCTATTTTAGGCTGCTTTACAAAGATAGCCAAAGACTTGGAGCTCCTTTCAGGCATGTACCATGCTTTATTCATTTTTCGTTATAGTTGGTATTTCTATTATTTGGCACAAAGTAGGGATTAAATATACATTTGCTAGATAAATGAATAAGTGAATAAATAAATATTAGTGGTATATTCAAGAATTACTTATTTGGCCAAGAATTACCAAAGTGATTTAGGTCAATGATGAAGCATTAATGATTAAATAAAAACTAGTTTCAAAAAATAAACACTGATGAAAAATAATCTAATAGGAAAAAACAATTGTTCCCTCCAAATAAGTCTGGTTAGCTTAATGATTCATGTTTAGAAGGATAGCAGGAAATACTGACTGCATGTTATACACAAGCATGTTATACATAAGTACCTCTCATAATGACCTTTTAAAATCTTAGCCACCAAATGTTTTTTATCTGAAGACTAGAAATAGGTTGGGGAAAGTATCTTAACAAGCATTCAGCTACTAGAAAATTCTAATAATTAAATATGACAACATATGTAAAACATTTAGCATAGGACTTCCTAGCACATAGTATGTCCTCAATAAATTTCTTCTATGATTATTAAAGCATATAAGAATGATGAGTTCAAGTCATAGCTATTTTGTAACTGGGTCTTCGAAACAAAAGCAAGTTCTTTAGCAATATAATAATAAACTAGAATATGAGGTTGCTAGGCTTCAAATACATAGTTCAATAATGTCAACACTATCTATAAGTTTTGAATCCACATCAAGCATATTTAATATGACACAGAAGTCAAGGATCTTTAACTGCCTTCCTGGAGATAAGAACCAGAGCAAAGACATGCAAGTTTAGAGAGAACTTTCTTCTCTCTACAAAGGAGGTAGTACAACACAATACTGAGTCACTTAGCTTTTACAATCAGGCTGATCTGAGTTTGAATCCTGGCTCTATCACTTATAGATCTATCACTGAGGTGAGATATTGGGTAAAAATAATCCCACTACCCTGAAATGGAATTTCATAATTTACAAAATGAGGGTAATACCAGTATATATACTTCATGGAATTGTTGCAAATAATAACCAGTAACAGTACAATGCCTGACACATAAACACCTGAGAAATGTCATACTCTGGGCTCTTAGAGAACAGCGTTCCCTTCTTTCCAAGGGTATAGATTCAAACTCTTGAGTCTGCATGCATGATCTCTAGTTACCATGAGACCCCTAGGTGAAACATACTGTTCTTTTCTTTCTATAAATGAGTAAACTGGGGTTAAAAAATGTTAACGTGTTCAAATTCAAACATTTTGGCAAGTGGCAAAGCCAGAATTTGAACCATCAGATAATTTCTTAAAATACAGCACTAAAATTTAATATTCTGTGCAATTTGGTTAGTTCTGATGAGTTCACAGGCTTTCAGAATATACAGTATAACCAGATGATTATTTTAATATATTTTAAAACACTACAGGCAGATATAATACCAATATTAAGGAACTAACTTTCCTGGATAATGTCCTATTTCCTTCTTAGATGATCTAGCCTACCCAGGATAACTTTCAGATACTAAACTCAAGCCACAGTGTGGAGCAGTATTTCTGGAAAGAGGTGATTCCACAGTGACCCATTGGGGGAAACATAATGAACATGAAAAAAGGCAAAGTAGTACCCACCAATGAGCAAAACAGTTCACCTTTACTGTTTTACGACACTTCAAAGATCTACAGCATTAGCATACGGAAAAGCACTCATGCCAGTTTTCATAAGCATTCTTGTTCTAGGGTTATTAGCAAAAGATGGCAGCTAAAATGTCAAGTCCTGATGGAGTAAAAATATGTCAAAGTGCACCAAATAGAAAGCAGGAAATGTTCTAAAGTGTAATAATGCTACTGCATAACAGACACAGAATTTAGCTAATTTTTTTCCTGGGTACATACAAGTTTATTGTTATTATTAAATACATTTTAACCATAAAAAGGAAGGTGGAAATAGAGCCATCTGTAACATGCCTGTACTTTCATGCAGGCTCTGACATGCATCATGCAAACTGGAAAAAAAAACCAAAAAAAGTGATTATGAGGAAGGTGGTAGGAAAAAATCCGAAATTGTACTGTACCACGCTTTGTCAGAGAAGTAATGGACTAACTTCTCAACTCCTTGCCAATGGCATAATGGGAGAGCAGAGACAAGAAAAAGACAGGACAATGGCATCAGAGACCACACACAACACCAAGGATTGCCATGACTGGGTGGCAGCCACAAGTATTTGCTTTGCTATTGTTGTGTTTTCCTAGGCATTATTCATTATTTCATTTAATATATTTGTACATAACAAAAACATTAAATAGATTTATACTTTCTTACTAAAGTAATTTGCGAGTTAGTACAAATACTCATAACCTCAGAAAGGCATGTGTAAAACTTCTCACACACACTTAAGAGGAATCACTTGAAGACTCTTACCAAACAAAATATTGAAAGTAATTCTGATAAAATTTAATATTCATACTCCAAATACCTAAAAAGTTTTAGTCCCAAGTAACCTCTTATGAAGGAGGTAGAAATGAATTTTTAAGTAATTTCAGAGGCTTCTGCATATTATAAGATTAAATAAGTGTTAGATTTATTTATTTATTTATTTATTTATTTATTTTTGAGATGGAGTCTTGCACTATTGCCCAGGCTGGAGTGCAGTAGTGCAATCTTGGCTCAATGCAGCCTCCACCTCCCAGGTTCAAGCGATTCTCCTTGCCTCAGCCTCCCAAGTAGATGGTATTACAGGCGCCTGCCACCATGCCCGGCTAATTTTTTTGTATTTTTAGTAGAGACGGGGTTTCACTATGTTGGCCAGACTGGTCTCGAACTCCTGACTTTGTGATCCACCCACCTTGGCCTCCCAAAGTGCTGGGATCACAGGCGTGAGCCACCACGCCCGGCCAGTTTAATTATTGCCATTGAAGACCACTAAAGGTATAATCTGATCTTAACCTGAATATGATGCAAATTATAAGTGAGGCTCTGCACATCAGTATAGAAAGACTTAATTTGTATCCCTAATACTGTATTACAACTAGATTTAAAGACTTTCGCTTTAGAGATCACATGAAGCCAATCACAGCTTCCAGTGCTTTTTGGGAAAAAGGAATGCTCTTATTCCTCTGTATCTCAAAATGGTGCCTCTAGACCTCAGAAAATTTAGAGGATAGCAGATTGATAATATAAATTGTTTAAAAATAATTTCTGAAATAAAGAGTTCAATGGCTTTTCTAAGTTGATGACCAGTTAACGGGTTTGGTTTTTTTTTTTTTAAGTATCAAAGTGATTAAGAGGGACTTAAGTAAGCATTTACTACAGAGGCACAATCACTCTTAGATGATTAATTTCGTGGGTCTATATCTCAAAGACACAGAATCCATTAACATCTACCTCTCAGATGATGTAGAGTAGTTCAGGAAAAAAAACCTAAATGGCATCATAATAGTACAGTTCCATTGATGTGATCAATAGACACAGTATATTTATCCAGAGTACAAGAATACTGTAAGCATTATGGTACAGAAAAAAGACTGGCTAAAAAAAATCCCACAAGCTGCAAAGCAGATTGTAATAAAAGGCTTTATACAGAAACCACTAACGCTGCACTTCTCATAATTCCAAGAAACTAACCCATGCCTACGTTTGTGGAAGGCCTATTGGACCATGAGTTAGATGCACATTTCTAGTCATTTAACCAATGACTATACTAGATAGTCCTTGAAATTGGCTGCGAAAAGGTACAAAATACCATATTTGATGTTAACCATATTTAAATTAAAAATGAGCATACACGAAATTGAATTAGTAAAGTTTTTTTACTGAGTTACTCTAGTTTGCATTTCATTCAAAAATATTTTATTTTTATGAAAAGTCACTCCCAGAGCTAATTTCTAAGGAAGCTGAAGCTATTCTTATGTATAAAATTGATTATAGTCACACATTAGAGTCAATCAGATTGAGCCTTGTTAATTTATACATTATGAGCATGTTTGACAATTCAACAATTGTCAAATACACATTTGACACATCAAGTGGCCTTAGAAAGTGTATACCCTTTAATTAAATGATATCCTTCCAGGAAATCTAAGAAAAGAGAGACACTGACACTGATTTATACACAAAGATAAACTGCTTACCAATATTCCTCTCTGTAACTAGAAACGACATTAATGCCCAATAGAAAAAAATTAATTTAGAATATATCCACATAATGCATTATCAAGTGGCCATTAAAATGTTAATTTCAAGAAATATTTACCATATAAAAATGTGTGTATATATATAAAATGATACTATGTGAAAAAAGCAGAACGACTGAAAATACATAAATTCAACTTTATAACATAATATTTAAAAGACTGAAAGGAAATATACCAAAATGTTTCTTCTAATTCCTCCATAATGAGTCACTACATTACTATTATAAATAGGACAAATGTACATTTTGAAGGAAGAGTCATTGTATTTACAAAAAATATTTAAGGTTCAGACTCTGGAAGTAGAACAGAATTTAATTATGGTTTGTTCACTTACCCTGAGCAAATTACTACATCATTTATTGATTTATTTATGATTTATTTGCATCTTCCTTATTATAAAATTGGAATAATATCTCTGGCTCTGAGTTGTTGTGAGAATCAAATAATTTAAATGAAATGCCCAGAAAAGTACTTAAGACATTAAAACACATAATAGGTATTCAATTAATATTAGTCTTTTCCCCTTTCTTAAAATGTATGGCTAAATTTTTAAAAATATACATAAGAGTTTCCTATAGGAATATTTGTGAAAGTGTAATTTTTAAGTAGCTCTTAGAAAGATTATCCAACTGTATGAATTTCAAGAGAACAATTCTCCAGCCAAAAGGACTAAAAGAATAAGTACAGTGAATTACTAAACTGAGACAGTGCAGTCGAGGATAAGCAGGCAAATGGCAAAGGTGGGCATTCAGTAAGATCAACGTTTTGGTTAAACTGAGGAAAAGCTGGCTCTTACAAAGGGCTCATCAGCCATTTAAGCCACTCTATTAATATTCAACAATAAACATTTTTTCCTGCCATAGACAATTCTTAGGAGGCACCACTTAAAAACAGTATTTCTGCAAAAAAAAAAAAAAGCTTTACTTTGATTATACACACAAAATCTATGCACATTAAATTATCTACACTTCTTAGCCTTCATATTTAAAGTCAGTATATTAAAACCTAAATGCTCATATTTATATGGGCAAAATAGACCAATGTTTTTTAACTGCAGGTTGCTAGCAACATTTAAAAAAACAGAATAGAGAGAAAAAATATGAGAGGATCAAATATTTTAAGAGAAAGTATTGTCCCATGAATCTTTTATCAGAATTTTAAATATACATACACAGTGAATCAGGTTGTTGTAAATACATACTTTCTCTCAGTAAATGTATACTGGGCTGTCATGTAAAATAAATTTATAATCACTGCATGTCAAAAATGTTTGTGAAACACCCCCTGAAATTTGTAAGAGAAAGAAGATGTAAGACAATATAAATTTGTCATTCTTAATATAATTATGGTGGACACAACACTACATCAAGAAACTGTCAGGCTATTACGACAAATATAGATGCATTTATGTAATTTTTATTGTTTTAAAAGAACTTTTTCCCTTCGCATTAAGTCACTGCACATGGAAGGTAAAAATAAATAGGATTTCTAAATTTATCAAGCCAGGTACTAAAGAGCAAGTTTTAAAAGCTTAGTTAGACACAGTAAGAAATAGGTATTATTTCGAAACATACTTTTTGAAAAGTCAAGTATTCCTGTAAGTACATGCTCTGGCAAGAAATGCTATTTGGAATTACCAGGAAGGCTTTCTATTTGCCAAAAACAATTATTTTTATTAAATTTTCCTACTCTGAGGTAGGTTATTTATTACTCCCAATTTTACACAGTTGGAAATTAGAGTAGAAAGACTACACCAATGCCAGTTAAGTGAATTTGTACAAAAGCTCAAATCCCTACTAACAGCAGGAAAGACCTAAATGTAGATATTTTCTGCTAACCTAGAGAAAATTTAATTTGAAATAAAAAAGTATCATGAAGTAGAGACTAGTAATATACTTAAGAAATGTAAGTCAAAATTTCCTGAGAAGGAAAAATAATAAAGGCCAGAACCTTCCATTTATCTCTATTTTCCTATATTCTTTTTTTTTGAGACAGAGTCTCACTCTGTTGCCCAGGCCGGAGTACAGTGGTGCGATCTGGCTCACGGCAAGCTCCGCCTCATGGGTTCACGCCATTCTCCTGCCTCAGCCTCCAGAGTAGCTAACTGGGACTACAGGCACCCGCCACCACGCCCCGCTAATTTTTCGTATTTTTAGTAGAGATGCGGTTTCACCGTGTTAACCAGGATGGTCTCGATCTCCTGACCTCGTGATCCGCCTGCCTCGGCCCCACAAAGTGCTGGGATTACAGGCGTGAGCCACCGCGCCTCGCCTATTTTCCTATATTCTTCAACGCAGTTTGAACACTGCTGGCCACTACAGCTTTCTAGAGTGACGAGGGCTAAATACTCCCTGTAAACATTAATTATCTCACTCTGCATATTTAGAACGGACTATCTTCATACTAGAAGGTCTACTATACTTCCGTAACTTAAAAAACAACAAACTGCTGTTACTGAAGACTCACAGCCAAGCTTTACCTCGCCTCCCCATTTAGAGGATAAAGGCAGTTCCCTCAAGCTGATGTTCAAGAAGTCATCAAAGAGGCCGAGCGTGGTGGCTCACGCCTGTAATCCCAGCACTTTGGGAGGCCCAGCCAGGTAGATCACAAGGTCAGAAGTTTGAAACCACCCTGGCTAACACGGTGAAACCTCGTCTCTACTAAAAATACAAAAAATTAGATGGGCGTAGTGGCAGGCGCCTGTAGTCCCAGCTACTTGGGAGGCTGAGGCAGGAGAATGGCGTGAACCCGGGAGGCGGAGCTTGCAGTGAGCTGAGATCTGGCCACTGCACTCCAGCCTGGGCAACAGAGCAAGACTCTTGTCTCAAAAAAAAAAAAAAAAAAAAAGAAGTCATCAAAGAACTTTTTAATGAAACATTATACTGGAGAAATCTCTCAACTATCTTCTTAAGCACAATCAACCTCTCCAAACATGAGTACTAGGACCCACATATTGATTAAATGTGGAGACAAGTATCATCTGACTACAAGTTTAGTATAGGAAAAGAAGAGATCTGTTTCAAAACCCTCTGGAAAACCACTAGATTTATTCTAATAATTTCATACCTTTCTTTTCTATATTTTATAACTAAAAAAAAACCCTTTATTAGTAAACTGCTTTAGCTGTTCTCAGGGTGAATTCAAAATAGAGTAGTAGTTTAGAGCATATTTCCCCTCTAAAGGAACCTTTCAAGCTCATTAATAGTTATTAAAAGGCTGTGAACAGGCCCTCTGGTCATTACTTCGCACAAACAGGGACCTACAAGTCTCAAAGATCAAATCCTAGGGCCAGTGCTTTTAGATGCACAGGCCGTGAGAACCTACTCAGGAAAAGACTCATATATATATATATGAGTATATATATATATATATATATATATTTTTTTTTTTTTCCCTAGATGACTAATACATCCAAACTCTGGAGAACCAAAACTTTCTTTTTGTTAATCTGAAGATGCAAAGAAGTTTTGATCTAGAAAGGTTTAAAAAAAAAAAAAAGCAGGTCTTACTAGTATTGTAGGAATTGTAGGATAGTGCTGCTTCACAGTTGGAAACAAAAAGGAAAGCTCTGAACCCAAGAAGGAAGGAGAAGAAGCACTTGAAAATGGAGAGCCACTGAATCAAGGAAAAGACAAGAAAATTCTAATGCTATACAAATAAACCAATGAAATGGGTATTTCTGATAAACATGTTTTTAAAAGTAAAGCTGAAACTCTATTTGTAATACAGAATAATTAATCCCAAACTTCAATTCCGTATTACAGCTAGCTGAGGAGAAGGAGAAAGGGGGAGGAACATGGTGACAAAAAAGGATACAGGCTAAAAGGGGGCTTGAGTAAGTACACAGGTGGGTGTGCTAATCTGAGGGGAAATCTCAAACCTTGCTGTTTACTGGCCACAAGCCTAAGAACATATAATTTGTTGTATCTGCCCTTTGAAATTTCAGATGACTTGACTAGCATTTTAGTATGATTCTTTTTGTGCTGGGATTATTTAAATAGAGGAGAAAAGAAAGCAACTTACTTGAAGACGAGAGAAGTGAAAAGGAGGAGTTACCAAGGTGGTGGGAGAAGGAGGAGTTACCAAGGTGGTGGGAGATAGAAAAGGAGGAGGACAAAAAAACTCCTTTTCTCATTGCTTCCAGTAAACAAACGAACTTGCTACTAAAGAACATCACATAAAAGCCTACAGAAACGATTTTTCTTTAAAACAAAAAGTACAGAAGGGAAGGAGAGGTGTAGCAGCCAAAAAATAAACTTCATGCCTTCTCTGGAATTCATGTCGATACCTCATAATTTTGGCTAATTCAAGAAATAAAATTTTCTTTAAATAAATCACATTCCTAATTGCTTAAAATTTCCTCCTTTGACACCTTTGATACTTCACATGGAAATGGATAATGAAAAAATTGAATGAATCACAAATCATGATAAATCCTTGGAGAAGGCATAAAAATACCTCTGATTGACTGTATTTACACTTCATTTTCATTAATAATAGCTTTTTATGGGTGACTTTTCAAAAAAGATAAAATATAACCAACTTACCAGGCATACTTAAGTACATAAAACAAAATAACCCACACTGTTTTGGAAAAGAGATTTAACATAAACAAAAATTTTAAGGTCAAACAGTAACTAAATCATTAGAAATGTTAGTAAACCATGCATATTCAAAAGCCATTTCTTCTGTGCTGTAAAGCTGATAAATTACAAAAACATCTTAGTTGTTTTAAACCACTTTTAGAAAAAACAATTAGAAATATCTTTATTTTAGATGACAGTGAAATGCAATCCAAGCCCTTAATTAGGAAATATTATTTAAAGAAATGTGCAATGGTCTAGTAAGCCTGCTCCCCACACATTATGCATCTGTCCATCATACCATTGTAGATCACATGTACACTTTTTAAAACAATTAGATAACACAACAATTTTTATTCACATATTTCAAGGTTTTGAAAATGCATTAAAGACAGATGCATGTCAGTAGGTCTAGGGTCACTGGCAATAGGTTTAAACAGTATTAGAATGAAATTAACCTCAGACAGCTTCCATAAGGCTCTAAGTAGAGGTCTGTTTACATGCAGTAAAAGGAAGTGTTAAGAGAGGAGACCACAGAGAGTGCTGCTTTAGCAGATGCCTGCAGAGCACTCAGGATAGAAAAGGAGGTGCTGGGGAGGAACAGGTCATGCAGAAGGGAAATACCATGAAGGGGAAGCCAGAGCAGGATAGGAGTGAGAGACACAGACTCACTCTGTCTGCGGTGCGGTGGAACAGTCCGTGGGATCCCCTGGAAGGAGCCCTGCCAAGGAGAGAAGGAGGGAGCAGAATACCCACCCTGTGCAGAGAGAGATGGGGTAGGGAGGTATAATAAAAAAGGGAACCAAAAAATAGAGAAACCAAGTCATACTTTGTTTTACTTTTAAATAACACAGAGCAATAGTGTTAACGAGAAGACAGATTTCATTTTTTTAAAATACAGGCAGCTCAAATTACTAAAAATACATCATAATCCAAACCTAGTTATTTTTAATATTTTTTTAAAAAATTATTTTCCTCTAATATTTGTAGTACAATGTACAAGAAATAATATATTCTTTCCGGTATACATTACATTTATCATCATATATCTCTTGTTAAAGTAGCAGATTCCAGTCTTTTGCAGAAAAAGAAGGAATTTAAAGGGGGAGATAGACTTTAGGTGTTAAACACACAGAAAATGCACCAATTTGTGAATCAGGCAATACAAAAAAATTATCATCTAAAAATTTTTATTTCGGCCGGGTGCAGTGGGCTCACGCATGTAATCCCAGCACTTTGGGAGGATGAGGCGGGTGGATCACGAGGTCAGGAGTTGAAGACCAGCCTGGCCAAAATGGTGAAACCCTGTCTTTACTAAAACTACAAAAATTAGCCAGGTGTGGTGGCAGCCACCTGTAAAACCAGTTACTCGGGAGGCTAAGGCAGGAGAATTGCTTGAACCTGGGAGGTGGAGGTTGCAGTGAGCCGAGATGACGCCACTGCATTCCAGCCTGGGCAACAGAGCAAGACTCCGTCTCAAAAAAAAATAAAATTTCTTCTTAAATCACAGGTTTTCAGAGGATTAGCAGGTAAAAATAAAGAACATTAGCTAAAGTTAGCAAAACCAACACAGCATTAAAAAAGATTCAGGATGTTGTAATGTGACATGTAGGCCACTGGTTACGTGGACATGCTTTTTAATTTCAATAACTTGTGGCTTTTTAGCTTTACTTATTTTAATCACAGATTATCAGAACTACGATACTCCTGAAATGTCATTTACTTCAATGTCCTCACTTTACAGAAAAAACTTTTTTCAAGAAAGTAACTGTTCAATGTTATACAAAGGGAACCATATTGGGTCTTATGTCCTTAGCCTCCTTACTGACTGAAACATATGCACAAAAAAATCTACTGAAACACTCTTAAAATATCATTAAGGAAAATCAGCCTATAAATCATGATCATACCCAGTTAAATCTGCAAAAGAAATTATGTATATTTTTTCAGACCAATTAATCTGACTTAAAAATAATATTGTATTAAAAATTACGATAATAGTTTAACAGTGTTTACAGATCTTATGAAGGGTCTGAAATGAAAAAAATTTTTCTCACTTTCCGTATCAACATTCTTTGACTCAGGTATAATCAAATACTTCTTTAAATTTAAGGGTGATCCCACATTGTTCAATATAAAACAGAAACATAAAAGATCCATTTTCTATGTTGATGAAGGGAAAAAAAAAAGCCACAAAAACTAAATTAACAATCTTTAGGATATTCTAGTAAATAAAAATCTTATCTTTTGAAATTATTATACTTTTTTCTTTTGCTAATTTGGCAAAAACAGCTTAGAAAACATTGAATAAGGTGATGACCCCAGATGCTCTCCATAGATACTACCTGCTGTTATGCTGTTTGTGAAATGTTTTGGTTCAAAGGCTATATTTATACTAAACAAATTCTCAACCAAATCCTCCCTATGCGTTTTGCAGAACCAAGCTTCTACCCACTGTACTACTAAGTAAAGAAACTTTCAGATGGTAACTTCATAGACATGTTTAAGAAAACAGTCATTGTTTCCTTCACCAAAGAGGTATGTTTACCTTTGCAGGTCTGTGGAAATAGCACTGACCTTGGAATCAGGGAAACTTTTTTTCCTTGGATCTTTCCCAAGCCTTGTAACCTTGAGAAAATTACTGATTTTTGAGCCTCAGTTTCCTTATTTGTCAGATGCAGAGGCTGGACTGGTTCATCTCGAAGAACCCTCTTACTTTTAGTTCCTATAATTTAGTTACTCATATCTGTCCCCATCTCCACTCCAGTAATTTTATAACTCTATTTTTAATTTTGTAACTCTATTTATATGGCATTTAAAACAATCAACTTTGTATTAAATTGTCTCTCCTGCTAGATCATTAATTCCTGAAATAATTTAGGTGAAAGTATCTGTCACAGTACCTATAAGTTCGCAGGAGTTTTAAAAGATATTAGATGTCCCACCTTCTATAGCCTAAAACTCCCCCAGCATGTAGCAGACACTAAGTTAACTATTTACTGATTTAAACAAAATTAAATTAATTTACTGTGTTTATCTAGAGATGCAGCTGTAGCATCTGTCAATCCCGGCCACACACTATAACCACCTAAGAAATTTTAAAACCAAAAACAATGATATCTGTCTTTATTTCCCCAAGACCAACAAATCATAATCTCTGGCATAGGTCTGAGTATAAGAAGGGAAAGACAACCTTGTGAAATAAATACATAAACAGCGCTGCCTGCCACCGCCAAGGGGCACCCATCTATTAGCCTATCAAACAGTTGTATGCCATCAGAGCTTATGCCCAGAAAGACAAAGAATGTTACTCATTTTATTTCTGCCACCTACAATGCGTCTTCCACTTCTCTACCCATCTGTCAAAATCTTATCCAGCCCCCTTAGGTTCTTTCAAACCCATTTCCTAAAAGCTTTTCCTGATCCTGCCTAAATTAATTATGATCATTCTTGTTTATAAACACCCACAGCAATTGGTGGAATCTTTCTTCCTCTTTTCATTACTTTGATTTGAGTATCTTAAAAATTCTTCTATTAAATATAACCACCCTGAAAATAATAGCTCTCTTACTTTCCTTGGTGTCAACTACTTAGCTTCTTGTCAATTTACTTATAGAGAGTAGAAATAACATACTCTGATCAGCATTTAATAGAACAGGGAATTCCAGTTTCAGGAAAAGATGGAGTAGACATACTTCTCCCTTTTCCTGCTGTCAAATACAGCTAAAAACCCTG
The DNA here is from genome assembly GCF_000001405.40 of Homo sapiens. NCBI lineage: Eukaryota > Metazoa > Chordata > Mammalia > Primates > Hominidae > Homo > Homo sapiens. The sequence continues at coordinate 84,496,896 of NC_000010.11, read as the reverse complement.
GGCACTATATATAAAACACAATATTCTGAAAGGTAGAGAGAAAAAGTGAGACCAGCTTGGGACCCAAGGAAAAATATGGTGATTTTCTTTTTGCCTAATGTATCCTAAAATGAGTGATAGAGAAGCCAGCCCCTGGAAATGACAAGGAACACACACAAAAAAAAAATTTAAGAAAGCCTGCACACTCTAGCCAAAGGATCAGGAAAGAGGAAGACTAGCAATGCAGGAAACTTGTATCCAGTAATCTACCTAACACCACAGAAAAACCTGTGGCCCCAGCCCCCATTCCCATCAGAAAGGGAGGACTGGGAAGGCCGGGCGCGGTGGCTCATGCCTGTAATCCCAGCACTTTGGGAGGCCGAGGCGGGCAGATCACGAGGTCAGGAGATCCAGACCATCCTGGCTAACATGGTGAAACCCCATCTCTACTAAAAATACAAAAAATTAGCCGGGCGTGGTGGCGGGCGCCTGTAGTCCCAGCTACTTGGGAGGCTGAGGCAGGAGAACAGCATGAACCCAGGAGGCGGAGCTTGCTGTGAGCCGAGATCACCCCACTGCACTCCAGCCTGGGCGACAGAGCGAGACTCCGTCTCAAAAAAGAAAAAAGAAAGGGAGGACTGGGGAGTGTAGGCCTCCACCCTTGTATGGCTGTGACATTTTCTTATGTACTTCTTAAAATACGCATAAAAAATATTTAAGAAACTTATAAATGGGAGAGGAAAAGGGACTTAAAAGGACATAAAGTTTCTACATGTAGTAGACTATATATAGTTAAATATATATGTATGTGTGTGTGAAATATAATGCCTACAGCAACAACTAAAACATTATTATAAAGACATAAACTCAAAACACTATATATAAATAAAAATAGAATTATTAAAAAACTAATATACAGAAAAGAAAAAACAGAAATAAAGAAAAAAGAAAAAAATAAAATGGCAGACTTACATAGCAAAAATTACATTAAATATAAAGGGCTGAAATATACCCATTAAAAGACAGATTGGTAGATTCATGGCCTAACTATATGCAGATTACAGGAAATTCATGTTAGGTATAAAAATATATATATTTTAAAATAAAAGATGAAAACGATATACCACGCCAAAAAAAAAAAACAAAAGAAATTTGATGTGCTTATATTATTATCAAATAGACTTCAGAGCAAAAAGAATACCCACATATAGAAAGAGACCTCACAAAATGATAAAAAGGTTAATCTACCAAGAAGACACAGTGATCCTAACAGCACACCAAACTGCAGAAACGTATAGTAGCTGAAGCATAATCTCATAAAACTGAGAGAATCGCCAAATCTACAATTACAGTTGGAGAGCTCAACACCCCATCCCAACAACTGATAAAAATAACTAGACAAGAAAATCAGCAATGACATAAAACTCAAGGACACCACTAACAACAGCACCTAGTCAATGCTTACAGAATATTCTATCCAACAATAGCAAAAAGCAATCTTTTCAAGAATCCACAGAACATTTACCAAGACAGACCATAGTTTGGGCCACAAGACAAACCACAACAAAGTTAAAATATTGAAATTATACAGAATGTGTTCTCTGACCACAATGGGATCAAATTAGAAATCAATAACAGAAAGATGACAAGAATATGTCCAAACACTTGGATACTAACATTCATACCCCTAAGTTATCCATGGGTCAGTCAGAGAGGAAGTCTCAAGAGAAAAAAAAAAAAAACCATATCAAACTGAATGCAAAAGAAAATACATAATGTATAGGAAACAGCTGAAAAAATATATAATATGTAGGAAACAGCTGAAGTAGAGACAGAAAAGAGAAAAAAATTCCATCAATAAGCTAAACTGATGTCTTAAGAAACTAGAGAAAATAAGACCAAAATAAACCCAAAGTAAGAAGAAAGAAAAAAAAAAAAAAGCAGACATCAGCAGTTTTGTGGTGTAACCATTCTTTTGTTTCTTTACTTCTCTAATAAACTCATTTTCACTTTACTCTGTGGACTCACCCAAAATTTCCTGTGTGAGATCCAAGAACCCTCTCTTGGGGTCTGGATCAGACCCCTTTCCGGTAATATATTCCATAACGAACCATGAACAGATAATACTTTGGTCTCCCAAATATCGCCTTTTGTCAGGACTCAGAGTTATGAATGGCTTTCACCACATAGCTGCTTTATGACTGCGCTTCACTCTACCTTGAATACAAGAGACCCTACAAGTTAGGAAGGAATATCATCACCCCTATTAAGCCAAAGGATACTACAGAAGATGGATCTTGGTCCCTCTACAACCTTTAGGATTAAGGGTCCCCTTGTAAAGGGGAGGGGGAAATAGAAGCATTTGAATCAGAGCAATTCCATCTTGAACAGGGGCTGGGTAAAATGAGGATAAGACCAGCTGGACTACATTCCCAGGAGGTTAGGCATTCTCAGTCACCGGATGAGTCACTGGATGAGAAGGTTGGCATTAAGATAACAGTTCACAAAGACCCTGCCGATAAAACATGTTGCAGTAAAGAAGCTGGCCAAAACCCACCACAACCAAGATGGCAATGAAAGTGACCTCTGGTCATCCTTACTGCTCATTATATGCTAATTATAATAAATTAACATGCCAAAAGACACTCCCACCAGCACCTGACAGTTCACAAATGCCATCGGAATGTCTGGAAGTTACCCTACATCATGGGTCTCCAACCCCTGGGCCACGGACCAGTACCAATCCATGGGCTATTAGCAACCTGACAACACAGCAGGAGGTGAGCAGCAGGCCAGTTGAGTTGAAGCTTCATCTGTATTTACAGCTACTGCCCACTGCTTGCATTATCACCTGAACTCTGCCTCCAGTAAGATCAGCAGCAGCATTAGATTCTCACAGAAGCAGGAACTTTATTGTGAACTGCACATGCGAGAAATCTAGGTTGCTTGCTCCTTATGATAATCTAATGCCAGATAATCTGTCACTGTCTCCCATCACCCCCAGACAGGACCATCTAGCTGCATAAAAATAAGCTCAGGGCTCCCACTGATTCCACATTATGGTGAGTTGTATAATTATTTCATTATATATTACAATGTAATCATAATAGAAATAAAGTGCACAATAAATGTAATGCACTTGAATCATCCTGAAACCATCCACACTGCTCCCACAACCCTCTCCCCATCTGTGGAAAAGTTGTCTTCCATGAAACCAGTCCCTGATGTCAAAAAGGTTGGGGACTGCTGCCCTATATAGTTTAAAAGGAAGAGAAACCTAAAGTTTTGGGAAATTCTCGTTCCTTTCTCGGAAAACTCATGAATAATCCACCCCTTGCTTAGCATATGATTGAGAAATAACCATTAAAAATAGCCAACTAGCAGCCCTCAGGGCTCTGTCTATGGAGTAACAATTCTTTTGTTTCTTTACTTCTCTAATAAACTCACTTTCACTATAAAAGAGCAGGATCCTTGAAATTGAACATAGAAAAACAGAGAAAATCAAGAAAACAAAATGTTGGTTCTTTGAAAAGATCTGTAAAATTGACAAACCACTAGCAAGACTGACAAAGAAAAAGAGAGAAGGTAAATTACCAAAATCAGAATGAAATAAGGAATATCACTACAGACCCTCCAGCCATTAAGGTAATAAAGGAATATTATGAACAACTTTACAGTCATATATTTGACAACTGAGAAAAAGGGCCAATTCCTCAAAACCACAAACTATCAAAATTCATCCAAGATGAAAGAAGTCATTTGAATAGGTCAATAACTATTAAAGAAGTTGAATTTATAACTTTAAAACTCCCAAAAAAGAAATCTCCAGGCCCAGATAATTTTACTGCTAAATTCTACTAAATGTTTAAAGAAGAATTAAACATTAATTCTACACTATCTCTTCCATAAAGCAGACGAGAAGAAAACACCTTCCAAAGTATTTATGAGGCCAGGTTTAACTTAATACAAAAGCAGACAAAGACAGTACAACAAAAGAAAAATAAAGAATAAAAAGCATTAACCCCCAGAATACAGATGTAAAAATCTTTAACAAAATACTACTAACTAGAATTCAGGAATATATAAAAAGAACTACATACCATGACTAAAGGGGGTTTATTTCAGGCCTATGAGATTAGTTTACTATTAGAAAATCAATCAGTGCAATCAACAGGCTAAAGAAGAAAACTCATAGGTTCATAGCAATTACCAAAACAAAAGTAACAAAATCCAACTCATATTCATGATAAAAACTCTTAGCAATCTAGGAATAGAGGGAAACTACTTCAACTTGATAAAAACCATCTCCCAAATATCGATAGCTAACATCTACCCAAAGGTGAAAGACTGAATGCTTTTTCCCCTTAGATTAGGAAAAAGGCAAGAATGCCCATTCTCATAATTCTTATTCAACATAGTAATGAAAATCCAAGCTGGTGACATAATGCAAAGAAGGGAAATAAAAGACATCAGATCAAAAAGTGAGAACACTGTTACTATTTACAGATGACATAATGGTCAACATAGAAAACCCCAAACTACAGAAAAACTCTCCAAACTTATAAGTGAGTTTACTAAGTTCACAAAATACAAGGTCAATATACAGAAATCAATTTTATTTCTTTTTTTTTTTTTTTGGAGACAGAGTCTCGTTCTGCCACCCAGGCTGGAGTGCAGTGGCGCTATCTCTGCTCACTGCAATTATCCACCTCCCGGGATAATGCCATTCTCCTGCCTCAGCCTCCTGAATAGCTGGGACTACAGGTGCCCGCCACCATGCCTGGATAATATTTTGTATTTTTAGTAGAGACAGAGTTTCATTGTGTTAGCCAGGATGGTCTCCATCTCCTGACCTCGTGATCCGCCCACTTCAGCCTCTCAAAGTGCTGGGATTACAGGCATGAGCCACCGCACATGGCCCAGAAATCAATTTTTTTTCTAAGTATCAGCAATCAGCACAGGGAAAGTGAAATTTAACGAACAGTATCACTTATAACCACCCCAGAAAGAAATCTAAGAAAGCATGTAGATTACACCAAAGAAGATGGCCGAATAGGAACAGCTCCAGTCTACAGCTCCCAGCGTGAGCAACCCAGAAGAGGGGTGATTTCTGCATTTCCAACTGAGGTACCAGTTTCATCTCACTGGGGCTTGTTGGACAGTGGGGACAGGACAGTGTATGCAGCCCACAGAGTGTGAGTGGAAGCAGGGCGAGGCATCCCCTCACCCGGGAAGCACAAGGGGTCAAGGAATTCCCTTTCTTAGCCAAGGGAAGGGGTGACAGACGGATCCTGGAAAATCAGGTCACTCCCACTCTAATACTGCACTTTTCCAACAGTCTTAGCAAACGGCACACCAGGAAATTATATCCTGTGCCTGGCTCGGAGGGTCCCACGCCCATGGATCCTCCCTCATTGCTAGCACAGCAGTCTGAGATTGAACTGCAAGGTGGCAGCAAGGCTGGGGGAGGGGTGTCTGCCATTGCTGAGGCTTGAGTAGGTAAAGAAAGTGGCCGGGAAGCTCGAACTGGGTGGAGCCCACCTCAGCTCAAGGAGGCCTGCCTGCCTCTGTAGACTCCACCTCTGGGGGCAGGGCACAGCCAAACAAAAGGCAGCAGAAACCTCTGCAGACTTAAATGTCCCTGTCTGATAGCTTTGAAGAGAGTAGTGGTTCTCCCAGCATGGGGTTTGAGATCTGAGAATGGACAGACTGCCTCCTCAAGTGGGTCCCTGACTTCCAAGTAGCCTAACTGGGAGGCACCCCCCAGTAGGGGCAGACTGAAAACTCACACGGCTGGGTACCCATCTGAGACGAAGCTTCCAGAGGAATGATCAGGCAGAAACATTTGCTGTTCAGCAATATTCGCTGTTCTGCAGCCTCCGCTGCTGATACCCAGGCAAACAGGGTCTGGAGTGGACCTCCAGCAAATTCCAACAGACCTGCAGCTGAGGGTCCTGACTATTAGAAGGAAAACTAACAAACAGAAAGGACATCCACACCAAAATCCCATCTGTCGGTCACCATCATCAAAGACCAAAGGTAGATAAAACCACAAAGATGGGGAAAAAACAGAGCAGAAAAGCTGAAAATTCTAAAAATCAGAGCACCTCTCCCCCTCCAAAGGAACGCAGCTCCTCGCCAGCAATGGAACAAAGCTGGACGGAGAATGACTTCGACAAGTTGAGAGAAGAAGGCTTCAGAAGATCAAACTTCTTCAAACTAAAGGAGGAAGTTCGAACCCCATGCAAAGAAGGTAACAACCTTGAGAAAAGATTAGATGAATGGCTAACTAGAAGAACCAGTGTAGAGAAGTCCTTAAATGACCTGATGGAGCTGAAAACCATGGCACGAGAACTACGTGACGAATGCACAAGCTTCAGTAGCCGATTTGATCAACTGGAAGAAAGGGTATCAGTGATTGAAGATCAAATGAATGAAATGAAGCGAGAACAGAAATTTAGAGAAAAAAGAGTAAAAAGAAATGAACAAAGCCTCCAAGAAATATGGGACTATGTGAAAAGACCAAATCTACATCTGATTGGTGTACCTGAAAGTGACGGGGAGAATGGAACCAAGTTGGAAAACACCCTGCAAGATATTATCCAGGAGAACTTCCCCAACCTAGCAAGGCAGGCCAATGTTCAAATTCAGGAAATACAGAGAACGCCGCAAAGATAATCCTCGAGAAGAGCAACTCCAAGACACATAATTGTCAGATTCACCAAAGCTGAAATGAAGGAAAAAATGTTAAGGGCAGCCAGAGAGAAAGGCTGGGTTACCCACAAAGGGAAACCCGTCAGACTAACAGCGGATCTCTCAGAAGAAACTCTACAAGCCAGAAGAGAGTGGGGGCCAATATTCAACATTCTTAAAGAAAAGAATTTTCAACCCAGAATTTCATATCCAGTCAAACTAAGCTTCATAAGTGAAGGAGAAATAAAATACTTTACAGATAAACAAATGCTGAGAGACTTTGTCACCACCAGGCCTGCCCTAAAAGAGCTCCTGAAGGAAGCACTAAACATGGAAAGGAACAACTGGTACCAGCCACTGCAAAAACATGCCAAATTGTAAACACCAACGATGCTAGGAAGAAACTGCATCAACTAACGAGCAACATAACCAGCTAACATCATAATGCCAGGATCAAATTCACACATAACAATATTAACCTTAAATGTAAATGGGCTAAATGCTCCAATTAAAAGACACAGACTGGCAAATTGGATAAAGAGTCAAGACCCATCAGTGTGCTATATTCAGGAGACCGATCTCATGTGCAGAGACACACATGGGCTCAAAATAAAGGGATGGAGGAAGATCTACCAAGCAAATGGAAAACAAAAAAAAGTTAGGGGTTGCAATCCTAGTCTCTGATAAAACAGACTTTAAACCAACAAAGATCAAAAGAGACAAAGGAGGCCATTACATAATGGTAAAGGGATCAATTCAACAAGAAGAGCTAACTATTTTAAATATATATGCACCCAATACAGGAGCACCCAGATTCATAAAGCAAGTCCTTAGAGACCTAGAAAGAGACTCTGACTCCCACACAATAATAATGAAAGACTTTAACACCCCACTGTCAACCTTAGACAGATCAATGAGACAGAAAGTTAACAACGAGATCCAGGAATTGAACTCAGCTCTGCACCAAGCGGACCTAACAGACATCTACAGAACTCTCCACCCCAAATCAACAGACTATACATTCTTCTCAGCACCACATCACACTTATTCCAAAATTGACCACAGAGTTGAAGTGAAGCACTCCTCAGCAAATGTAAAAGAACAGAAACTATAACAAACAGTCTCTCAGACCACAGTGCAATCAAACTAGAACTCAGGATTAATAAAGTCACTCAAAACTGTGCAACTACATGGAAACTGAACAACCTGCTCCTGAATGACTACTGGGTACATAACGAAATGAAGGCAGAAATAAAGATGTTCTTTGAAACCAATGAGAACAAAGACACGACATACCAGAATCTCTGGGACACATTTGAAGCAGTGTGTAGAGGGAAATTTATAGCACTAAATGCCCACAAGAGAAAGCAGGAAAGATCTAAAATTGACACCCTAACATCGCAATTAAAAGAACTAGAGAAGCAAGAGCAAACACATTCAAAAGCCAGCAGAAGGCAAGAAATAACTAAGATCAGAGCAGAACTGAAGGAAATAGACACAAAAAATCCTTCAAAAGAATCAATGAATCCAGGAGCTGGTTTTTTGAAAATGTCAACAAAATTGATATACTGCTAGCAAGACTAATAAAGAAGAAAAGAGAGAAGAATCAAATAGACGCAATTAAAATGATACAGGGGATATCACCACTGATCCCACAGAAATACAAACTACCATCAGAGAATACCATAAACACCTCTATGCAAATAAACTAGAAAATCTAAAAGAAATGGATAAATTCCTCGACACATATACCCTCCCAAGACTAAACCAGGAAGAACTTGAATCCCTGAATAGACCAACAACAGGCTCTGAAATTGAGGCAATAATTAAGAGCCTACCAAACAAAAAAAGTCCAGGACCAGATGGATTCACAGCCGAATTCTACCAGAGGTACAAGGAGGAGCTGGTATCATTCCTTCTGAAACTATTCCAATCAATAGAAAAAGAGGGAACCCTCCCTAACTCATTTTATGAGGCCAGCATCATCCTGATACCAAAGACTGGCAGAGACACAACAAAAAAAGAGAATTTTAGACCAATATCCCTGATGAACATCGATGCAAAAATCCTCAATAAAACACTGGCAAACCAAATACAGCAGCACATCAAAAAGCTTATCCACCATGATCAAGTGGGCTTCATCCCTGGGATGCAAGGCTGGTTCAACATACGCAAATCAATAAACATAATCCAGCATATAAACAGAACCAAAGACAAAAACCATATGATTATCTCAATAGATGCAGAAAAGGCCATTGACAAAATTCAACAGCGCTTCATGCTAAAAACTCTCAATAAATTAGGTATTGATGGGACGTATTTCAAAATAATCAGAACTATTTATGAAAAACCCACAGCCAATATCATACTCAATGGGCAAAAACTGGAAGCATTCCCTTTGAAACTGGCACAAGACAGGGATGCCCTTTCTCACCATTCCTATTCAACATAGTGTTGGAAGTTCTGGCCAGGGCAATCAGGCAGGAGAAAGAAATAAAGGGTATTCAATTAGGAAAAGAGGAAGTCAAATTGTCCCTGTTTGCAGATGACATAATTGTATATCTAGAAAACGCCATCGTCTCAGCCCAAAATCTCCTTAAGCTGATAAGCAACTTCAGCAAAGTCTCAGGATACAAAATCATTGTGCAAAAATCACAAGCATTCTTATACACCAATAACAGACAGAGAGCCAAATCATGACAGAACTCCCATTCACAATTGCTTCAAAGAGAATAAAATACATAGGAATCCAACTTACAAGGGACATGAAGGACCTCTTCAAGGAGAACTACAAACCACTGCCCAACGAAATAAAAGAGGACACTAACAAATGGAAGAACGTTCCACGCTCATGGGTAGGAAGAATCAATATCATGAAAATGGCCTTACTGCCTAAGGTAATTTATAGATTCAATGCCATCCCCATCAAGCTACCAATTACTTTCTTCACAGAATTGGAAAAAACTACTTTAAAGTTCACATGGAACCAAAAAAGAGCCCGCATTTTCAAGACTATCCTAAGCCAAAAGAACAAAGCTGGAGGCATCATGCCACCTGACTTCAAACTATACTACAAGGCTACAGTAACCAAAACAGCATGGTACTGGTATCAAAACAGAGATATAGACCAATGGAACAGAACAGAGCCCTCAGAAATAATACCACACATCTACAACCATCTAATCTTTGACAAACCTGAGAAAAACAAGAAATGGGGAAAGGATTCCCTATTTAATAAATGGTGCTGGGAAAACTGGCTAGCCATATGTAGAAAGCTGAAACTGGATCCCTTCCTTATACCTTATACAAAAATTAATTCAAGATGGATTAAAGACTTAAATGTTAGACCTAAAACCATAAAAACTCTAGAAGAAAGCCTAGGCAGTACCATTCAGGACATAGGCATGGGCAAGGACTTCATGTCTAAAACACCAAAAGCAATGGCAATAAAAGCTAAAATAGACAAATGGGATCTAATTAAACTAAAGAGCTTCTGCACAGCAAAAGAAACTACCATCAGAGTGAACAGGCAACCTACAGAAGGGGAGAAAATTTTTGCAATCTACTCATCTGACAAAGGGCTAATATCCAGAATCTGCAAAGAACTCAAACAAATTTACAAGAAAAAAACAAACAACCCCATCAACAAGTGGGCAAAGGATATGAACAGACACTTCTCAAAAGAAGACATTTATGCAGCCAACAGACACATGAAAAAAGCTCATCATCACTGGCCATCACAGAAATGCAAATCAAAACCACAATGAGATACCATCTCACACCAGTTAGAATGGCAATCATTAAAAAGTCAGGAAACAACAGGTGCTGGAGAGGATGTGGAGAAATAGGAACACTTTTACACTGTTGGTGGGAGTGTAAACTAGTTCAACCATTGTGGAAGATAGTGTAGTGATTCCTCAAGGATCTAGAACTAGAAATACCATTTGACCCAGCCATCCCATTACTGGATATATACCCAAAGGATTATAAATCATGCTGCTATAAAGGCACATGCACACGTATGTTTACTGCAGCACTATTCACAATAGCAAAGACTTGGAACCAACCCAAATGTCCATCAATGATAGACTGGATTAAGAAAATGTGGCACATATACACCATGGAATACTATGCAGCCATAAAAAAGGATGAGTTCATGTCCTTTGTAGGGACATGGATGAAGCTGGAAACCATCATTCTCAGCAAACTATCGCAAGAACAAAAAAACAAACACCGCATGTTCTCACTCATAGATGGGAATTGAACAATGAGAACACTTGGACACAGGAAGGGGAACATCACACACCGGGGCTTGTTGTGGGGTTGGGGGAGGTGGTAGGGAGAGCATTAGGAGATATACCTAATGTAAATGACGAGTTAATAGGTGCAGCACACCAACATGGCACATGTAGACATATGTAACAAACCTGCACGTTGTGCACATGTATCCTAGAACTTAAATAATAATAATAATTAAAAAAGCATGTAGTGAACTGTGTTCTGAAAACTGAAAAATGCTGATTAAAGAAATCAAAAATGCTTAAATTAATGGAGAGACATACCATATTCATAAATTGGGAGAATCAACATCTTTATTATTTATTTGAACAGTTTATTTAAACTGTGGTACACCCATATCATGGAACAGTACTCAGCAATAAAAAGAAACTAACTACTGATGCACACAACTACTTGAATGGATCTCCAGGGTGTTATGCTAGTTTTAAAAAGCCAAGCTCCAAAGTTCAACACTGTAAGATACTATTTATAAAAAATCTGAAAATAACAAAATTATAAAGATGTAAAACAGTTTTAGTGGTTACCAGAGGTTAGGAATGGTGAGAGAAAGTGAGAATGGTTAGAATGCAAAGAGGTACCACACATGGGAAAATGCTGTGGTGGTACAATAGTTCTATACCTTAAATATGATGATCATTACTACACAAGTTATAAAATGGCACAGTTACTACACAAGTTATAAAATGGCACAGAAGCGTGCACACACACCATCACTAATGTCAATTTCCTGGTTTTGATATTGTACTACAATTATGTAAAATGTAACTAATGTGGAAAATTGGTTGAAAAATAAAAAAGATCTCCACATTTTTTGCAACTTCTTATCACTCTTTTGTAATTACACTACAGGCAAACTTTGCTTCTTCCAATGGATACTTTAAACAAAGTTTCAAAAATGCCTTCTATAGTTCTAGTATCTGGTATTGAAAAATACAGATTTAGGTAACTGTAAACTTACAACCAATAAACCACTCAACTGCTATAATATCCATATTTAATTTGTTCGTATCCTTAAGAAACAATTATGTTTTTTCGGTTATTGGTTTAACCTGTATACATGAAAGAAAGTCACAGCACTAATGTTTAAAAAAAAATAGAAGAAATGACAAACATAAAAGAATTCTTGTGTTGTCATAAATTCTGCATGCCACACAATGTCTCAGCAACACAGATGGCTCCTGTCAACATTCAGATCATCAAAACACAGGCTGTATTCCATGGCCAATGTCTAATATTGAGTAAAACATTGAATAATTTAAAAATAACTGTATGACCAGATCATAAATATCACTTATTTAAACACCAATGTATATGTGATTTTCTCTAAAAATACTTTTAGTGGCATTTAAAAATATAAGTAATAGTGAATACAAATAAAAGGCCTTAGCAAAGAAGTAATTCCCTTTGAAACACACACACACACACACACACACACGTGCATGCACACATGCATGCAACGTCTCTCCAGAGAAATAAATGGGCTCATTAAAATTTAAAATCAGGACATTTGGCTGGGCATGGTGGATGGCTCATGCCTGTGGTCCCAGCACTTTGGGAGGCCGAGGCGGACAGATCACCTGAGGTCAGGAGTTCAAGACCAGCCTGGCCAATATGGTGAAACCCCATCTCTACTAAAAATATAGAAATTAGGGCTGGGTGCGGTGGCTCACACCTGTAATCCCAGCACTTTGGGAGGCAGAGGCAGGTGGATCACGAGATCAGGAGATAGAGACCATCCTGGCTAACGCGGTGAAACCCCGTCTCTACTAAAAAAAATACAAAAAATTAGCCAAGCATAGTGGCGGGCACCTGTAGTCCCAGCTACTTGGGAGGCTGAGGCAGGGGAATGGTGTGAACCCGGGAGGTGGAGCTTGCAGTGAGCCAGGATCACGACAGAGCGAGACTCCGTCTCAAAAAAAAAAAAAAATTATATATATATATATATATATATATATATATATATATATATATAAATTAGCCGGGTGTGGTGGGATGCACCTGTGGTATCAGCTACTTGGGAGGCTGAGGTGGGAGAATCTCTTGAACAGGGAGGCAGATGTTGCAGTGAGCTGAGATCATGCCACTGACTTGAGCCTGGGCAAGAGAGAGAGATTCCATCTCAAAAAAAAAAAAAAGAAAAGAAAAAAAATTGACATTTTTCCAACATAAAAATTAACCAATAATTTTGCCCATTTCCAAATCAGGAAAGAATATGGTCTAAGAAAATGGATTTGGGGGAGATTATTCATAAGATAAATCGTTTGCCTGCACTGTCTTTTGGTTAGCGTTCCATCCCATTTCTCAGGCAAGAAAAAATAGAGTGGAGTTCTTTGCTGATAAATTTCCACGGTTGCTAGAAACTAGGTAAAATCTGTCTCCTTTGGAAATTATAAACATTTGATGTGATTTTTGTGATGTAACTGTGATAGTTTTCTGCTTTTTCCTTTTCTATTTTATAAATATTTATGATGGGAAAATACTTGACCCAGTATATCTGAGGCCCAAAAACCTAAGTCTTTTTTTTTTTTTTTTGAGACAGAGTTTCATTCTTGCTGCCCAGGCTGGAGTGCAATTGTGCAATCTCAGCTCACCACAACCTCCACCTCCCAGGTTCAAGTGATTCTCCTGCCTCAGCCTCCCGAGTAGCTCGGATTATTGGCATGCACCACCACGCCTGACTAATTTTTGTATTTTTAGTAGAGACGGGGTTTCTCCATGTTGGTCAGGCTGGTCTCAAACTCCCAGCCTCCGGTGATCCACCCGCCTCAGCCTCCCAAAGTGCTGTGACCAAAAACCTAATTCTAAGCACAAAAAGGGTGGTTGACAATGCTGACCATATTCCAATTGCTGAACTTATATAAATTACATATGCATATCTTTTATATATACCGTAACATGGATTAATCTTTGATTCAGTACTATAATTCCAACAGATCATTTTTAATGTATATAAAATCACCTTTTCTTGCCTCTTTGCTATATATAACAGAGTTAGTTCTTAAAAATATGAGAGAAAATTAGCATTAGATCGAATTGTGCCCATTCAGAATTTTAACTTGTAGGCACCTTTTCACACTGATACCGATACAACAGTCTGTGTATTCATGTACTCAATTTTCAGAGTAATCCAGGTCAGGTAATTACATGACAGGTCAGGTAGATCCTTTGGGTCTAACCTGTTCTCCCTGCGTAGAGATTCAAGGGGATAAGTAATAAGGCATTTGAAGGTATGAGTCCAGAAATGTTTCTTTTTTCTAATATTTTGGCTTCTCTGGTTAACTTGAGGTGTTCAAACAAATGGACTACAAAAGGTACATATCATAAGATTTTACAATTTACTTAACGTGCAGAATATTCATATTTTTAAATACTGATGTTAAATGCTTTTAAAACAGTATTGGAAATACATAAAAATAAATTCAGTCCAAGATAATGCTAATTTTTAAGAATATGCTTGTACATGGATCTGTACACTATGCTTAAAAATAGTTTCGTAAGTTTTTATGTTTAAAATGAATCTTGATTTCTCGCATAACCAACAACCTCCAGCAGTATTCACAGTAATATCAACTATTTTCATGTGAATGATTAGGCATCTTCCATATTGTTATTCTTCTTTTCGCGTTACTCATTTCACCATTGTATCCGGGTATTTTGCCCCTCAGATAAGAAAAATAATTGCCCCACTTTCCTCTGGAAGTATCATTTTCTGCTCTTACGGCTCATTCTTATCTCTTTTCCCTCTTTTTTCCTCCACCTAAATCTGAACTCCATGTTTTTTATTTTCCTTCATTTCTTCTGAAAACTGCTTTTACTGACTTGCCCTTTACTTATTGTTCTAGGTAGCTTTCCATATCCATGTAAGTAGATATCATTAGGTCCAGGGCTGCTTTGTCCAAAATGATGTCAATTAGCTACATGTGACTATTTACATTTAAATTAATTACAACTAAACAAAATTTAAAATTCTCTTCCTTCATTTTCAAGTGCTCAACAGTCACATGTAGCTACAGGCTACTACAATGGACAGCACAGAAAGTTGTATAGGACTGTGCCGCTCTAGAGTAGGGCATTCTCAATTCTGGAATACGGTCCTATGGCTGCCCTCTTTTTATAATGCAAGGCTCAGGGGAGTTTATAACACTACATTATTGCTTTCCCAAGCAGAAGATAGACCCCTTACTCCACTAAGACGTGCTTCACACTCTGGTCCTCAATGCTGAAAACACTGTTCTTAAAAACTTATACTTAAAAACATCCTGTACTATGCCTACAGCATGGCTTAGGCAACTCCCTACGGTAGTAGAAACCTTTGTCTTGCCCTAAATGAAGAGCACCCACCAGGTGACTAGCCACTATTCCCTTGCTGGGTTCAGTCTCACAAATAATAACCAAACCAAACCCAAACAGTTTTGATCTTTATCAGTACAGTTCTAACACCAAAAGCACCTGTAGCATGAAAGCCAAATTTTACTACAGGCAGAAAAAAACTCCTAAAATTCTGAGGATCAATATATATAAAATCAATATATATAAAATATATAAAAAATTTTGTGTATTGATATACACAAAAGCTGAGGTTGAATATATGCAGAAAATAGCATGATAAAATGGTTTTCAGGCCAGGAGGAAGAAAGAATTTGTAAGGTAAGAAAACATTACATAACAGGAATGGTCATAACATAAATAGTTGGGAGTGGCTTCCCAGTACCACCTGAAATGATAGTGTGGGGCACAAGGGGTAACCCTCCTGCCCTTGTATTTCCTCGTTTGTGGAGGGAAATATCAGGGGCTTTTTTTAAATAAACTAATGACATCAAACACTTGAATCACACAACCTAACATCACGGCCACCAAGCCACTTTCTGGTCATACTTAGTTGGTGGTAGTATAAGCCTGTATAAACCTTTCAGAAAAAAAACTGTAGTAATTTATTTCAAGAACCTTACAAAGACCATCCAGTAAAGGAATTAATTCCTTAACTTGATTAAAGGTAATGCATTTCTTCATTTTGGTTTAGTAAAAAAATCAAACCAAATATTAATAGCAACCACCATCACCACTACCTACGTAGGTTAAAATGCCACATATACAACATAATCCCATCTAAATAGAGATGACAGATGGCACATACACATATACACACAACACCAAACAAGGCTGGAAGACCATATATAAAATGTTAACAATGACTGTCATTGGCTTGTATGATTTAAGTACTTTAAATTTTTCTTAAGTTGTTTTGCTTCTCTATTTTCTATATTTGCTATAGAATAAATATATCGTTATCTCTCAATAAAAATAGGAAAGGAAAAATCCACTTTACAGTACTTCTCTTTTAAACGTACATATTTTGGCCTCAGGTTACTCATAAAGTATTCTTAGTATTCTATTTTTTCATGCTTTTAATGAGAGGTATTGAATTTTATTATTTCTATTGAGAAAATGACTTACATAATTTAATATGTCAAAAGATTTCTTTGTACTCACATTAGATTGAAACTAACTTGGTTGTAGAGGAGTTTTCTTATTACACTCTTACTGAAACTATGCCTTTTCAACCAAAAATACTTTTTTCTCAGTAATTTAAAATACAAGTATGTGGTCAGGCATGGTGGCTCATGTCTGTAATCCCAGCATTTGGGGAGGCTGAGGCAAAAAGATCACCTGAGCCCAGGAGTGTGAGACCCCTGTCTCTACAAAAAATAAAAAAATTAGCCAGGCATGGTGGTGCACACCTGTGGTCCCAGATACTTGGGAGGCTGAGGCAGGAGGATCACTTGAGCCCAGGAGGTCAAGGCTATAGTGGACCATAATTGCACCATTGCACTCTAGCCTGGGTGACAGACCAAGACCCTGTCTCAAAATAAATTAAATAACTTTTAAAATACAAGTATGTTTCTATGGATTATCACAGTATACTGCTAAGTCTTCTACCATGCAGTGCAAACCTGGGCACCTGTTTTTTTTCCTCTCAGGGAAGTTAAGTCCTTATTGTGATCTCTCACTAAGATTAAGCCTCTGTCCTCCCTTCCCAGAGCTATGATCCTTTTCTCTTCTCTATTCCTTCTAGCCCCCTCACCCTCCTGCAACCATTCAAAAGAAAAGCAACTAAAATAAGACTGCTGTATACAAGTTGTGTAAACACTTGCATAAGTCACTTCTTAGTCTTAGCTTCTTCACATGCAGAAAAAGAGTGAGCTTACTATCATTTAAGCACACTGGAGGTTTCTACAAGCATCTTGAGGGATGGAACTTTATATTTACACATGTATTTTTATATTCTTCTTTATATTTACACATCCAAATTAATACAGTGCCTGGCATGAAGTAGGCACATAAATATCTGCTGAATAAGCAAGTGAATATCTGCTTTTCCTCCTTTCCCCTTTTCTACTACTATATTTCTTCCTCTTATTTCCTGTTGATTCTCTACTTCAGAGATCTTATTTGCAGCCATTAAGTGACACAAAATCCCCTTGGACAAATCTCAATACATTCAAATTTTTGCTCTGCTGCTGTTGGCAGCAAACCACTCTCCTTCAAAGGCTCTTCAATGTGCTTTTGGGGAAAAGAACCTAGAACTAGCAGTCAAGAGTCCTAAGTTATAGTACTAGCTCAGCCACTTATTAATTATGGGAACTTTGCTATGCCAGTTAATCTCCCCAGCTTTTGCTACCTTATCTACAAAACAAAGGTATTTGGCCAGATGATTCCTATAGTAACTTTTATAGTTACTTTTTTTATAGTTACTTTTGTCTGATGAGGAGGAAGACTAACATCCAGTTTCCAGAACAGTGAGGCTGAAGGAGCCAGAGGTGGTATAAAGACTTCCATGAGGATGGCAAAATGGAACTTATCATGCTTAATGGAATCACCAGTCTTCTTAGTAGTACAATTATAAGGCATAACATCCCTATGGGGTAAATGGAGACACCTGGAAAGCCCAAACTTCCATCTAGAAGCAAGGGGCATGGTCTTCTATTAAACAACTGTCTGCAAACAGATGAGCTTCCACCGCCTTTGACATTAAATAATATCACATCATCTTTTTCTGTTGGTATCTTTTGCTTTCTATGATTCAAACACAACCTTCATTTTCTTCACCAAGCTCCTTGATTCTTTCAACTAGACTTTCCCACATCCTTTGAACCTTATAGACTTACACAGCACTTTAACTACATCAATGCATTCCCAATTTCTTAAGAAGTACTTATAAACAGAGGAATCCTTATTTGTCTGTATTTCCTTCCCTAATTCCCCACTTCTAGTTTGAAAGCCAAATATCTGGGATGAAAGGGGATCATCAAACTTTTGTTGAATAAATTAATTCCTACCATTGTATCTTATACAGAGCACAAAAAAAATACTTGTTAGATGAAAAGAAACAAAACTCTTTTATAAACTTTAAAGGCTTATGGCTAAGCTTTATAAACTGAATTGCTGATTATATTAGCCATTATATTTCTCTGTTCCTTTGTGTTACTAGGATTCCACTCCTAAATATAAGGCAAAAGAGTCAAGGCTGACTTATTAGGCAATCTCTTAACAAGAAATGTCTACTACCTGGCCCCAAACAACAGCAGAATGACTAATGTCCATATGATAATTCTCTGGCTCACACACATCCTGCACTAAGTTCTGAGAACTCAGATTAAATGATAGAGTATTTTTAGCACTAAACATGTTTTGAGATATAACATTTTTGAAAAACAAATAAGCATGGAATACATAGTTACTTCCTATTTAAAATAAACCATTCCCTAGTTCTGCCTAAAACATAACTTTTATTGTCTGTATCTTCGTGCATTTATATTTCCTAACACCCTCAACATTTGAGTAATTATAATAAACATATTTGAAAAGTTTTAACAAAAAAGGAATATGCTAAATCATATATTTTCAAAGTGTCATATGCTGCTAAAGTGGGATGACTGCATACAGGACTGCTATTTCCTTTAAGGCATGTGGAACTACTCTCATAAATCATGCAATAAGAGGAGAGTAGACACGCAAATAAAATGAACTATAGTATGTAGAATGAAAAAGCTATTAAAATGCACATTCACTTACATAAGACACACAAGAGAAGCTTTAGGAAAACACATAAACACCTAAGAGACAAGCAAAAATAAATTACCTACAAAAAAATTAACAGCCATGACAGATTCAAAATCATTAGAGATTGCTGTAAAAAGAGTGAAATAAAACATCAAAATAGCAAATGACTGGAGAGGAGGCTAAGAGCAAATGTTACTTACAGGAATTCGTCTCCAGGGTGTTTGGGTATATTTATCAGCATAAGTGCATTTTTCCTCTTTACATTTTTGGTGGCAGATATGCTGAGTTGCCTAAACAAAAACACAAAATTTTTACATTGGTTTAATTCTGCATATACACACCAAGACACACAAGAGAAACTTTAGGAAAACACATAAAACACCTAAGAGACAAGCAAAACTAAATTACCTATAAAAAAAATTAACAGCCATGACAGGAGGTAATCAGGGCTCTTTTAGGGGGTATGTAACCAAATCAACAAAAAAGTCACACATGGCAAAATAGTTCTGGCTACTTTTTTGAAGAAAAAATGTTATCACAGCCAACAATAAGGTCTATTCAGTGGTCTCTCATCTTATTCAGGGAGTGGGTTTGAGAGTCAGCCTGTAAGGTTAGAATTTTGAATAATCTAAATTACCCTTGGCAATCTCTTATATTGTCCATAAAACATACAATATATGATTTTATGTATATCAATATAAAGAGTTAAGTATATGGATGTAGAATATATAGGGATATTCAGTATATAAAGAATACAACTGCAGAATTTACAGTATTTCCCTAAACTGTCATGGTACTACAGTCACTAAAGCTCAGTTTCTTAAATCCATATTTTAATGGGACTCTGCTGGACATTGAATACCACCAGTCCACTTGTCAGGATGTCTGTTCTCATGTGCAGTGTGATGAAGCCTCTTTCATGATGTATTGACTTTACTGGACTGAAATATTTTGAAGAGTGTCAGCCCTTTGACAAGATCCATCTGACCATTTCTGTTCACAAATGATTTCTCCACACGATTCCACTCAAAGCACACTCATTTATATAACACAAAGTAACTTTCCCAAATAATCATCACTTTCAAAAAAGATCATGAAAATACTGATAAAAAGAATTCTCCCGGCCAGGCACGGTGGCTCACGCCTGTAATCCCAGCACTTTGGGAGGCCGAGGCGGGCGGATCACGAGGTCAGGAGAAGCAGACCATCCTGGCTAACACAGTGAAACCTCATCTCTACTAAAAATACAAAAAATTTGCCGGATGTGGTGGCGGGCACCTGTAGTCCCAGCTACTCCGGAGGCTGAGGCAGGAGAATGGCATGAACCCGGAAGCAGAGCTTGCAGTGAGCACAGATTGCACCACTGCACTCCAGCCTGGGTGACAGAGGGAGACACCATTTCAAAAAAAAAAAAAAAAAAAAAAAAAAAGAGAGAGAATTCACCCTTAGTGACAAGCTAGAAAATAACCACATTATTTGTTAAACAACCTCACTGGAGGTAGATATACTTTCTCATAGGAAACTAAAAAATTCTTGATTATTCCATCAGGTTAAAATGATACATTTCTACTTTAATAATATTTACCCATATTCAAAATTTTTCTTAACTGCAATCAGATCATTACAATTTCCTTATACAAAATAAAATCTAAAAACAAAAATGTCTATCATAGAGACATATTTCCCATTCCTAACAAATGAGACAGTCACTGAAACAAAATTCAATATAGGCTGGGTGCAGTAGCTCACACCTGTACTCCCAGTACTTTGGGAGGCTGTGGCTGGCGGATTGCTTGGGCCCAGGGGTTCCAGACCAGCCTGGGCAACAAGGCAAAACCCTGTATCTACAAAAAACACACAACAAAAACAGCCAGGCATGGTAGCATGTGCCTGTAGTCCCAGCTACCCGGGAGGTTGAGTGAGAGGATCACCTGAGCTTGGGAGGTTGAGGCCACAGTGTGCTGAGATTGCACCACCGCACTCCATCCTGGGTGACAGAGTGAGACTCTAACTCCAAAATAACCCCCCAAATTCAATATATAATCAAGTATTTACAGTCTCTTGGAATTCACTGTAATAGGATCAACTTTTAACATATATGAGGGGTATATGAGGAACAGAAAAGATAATTTAAAAACACTATCGTAACGAAAACACTTTACTTATTCCATCCTATTGCAATTCCAGAAATTCAGGTGCTCTTTGATTTATAATGGGGTCACACCTGGATAAACTCATAATATTACTAAAAACACACTTTTGATTTGGGATTATTTTCAACCTATAATGGGTTTATCAGGACATAATTCCGTCATAAGTTGAGGAGCTTACTGAATGAGTATCACTTTTGTACCATCATATAATCAAAAAATCCTAAGTAGCAGACTGTCTATGATTTATTTTCTGTGGTCTATATGCTCACACATGAAAAATAATATTTGGCAAATATATGAGTTTTCCAAAATTTGGAAAAGTCTAGTTTCTAGTGACATGTCAACATATATAAAATGACTAACCAAATCATTTTCTCACCATCTGCCTTCTTTATTGCTGACAGACTGTACAGATGCTCACCTTCTATTTGGTCCCACATTTGGGGAAATGTGTCCTAATCTCTTACCCCAAGGAGCTAGAACTTAATTAGTCTGAACCAATGTGATTAATCCCATTCCTCTATGCTTAGGAAGGGACAAGTAACTCAAATCTAGCCAATCAAACAGGAAAGTCTAGGGTATCTGAGAAAGGGTTTGTTGATTTTAAAAACAGACACTGGAGATCATAGGCCCTTAACCTATCCTTGGGTATTACTGTGTGAGAATGTGACACACAGAGCAACAGACATCTTGTGACCATGAATGGACAGCCAACAGGATTCCAAAAAAGCTGATCTGGAACCTAATCAATCAGCCAAATGACCAATAAGAAACCACTGAAATGGATGGGACCTACATAATTTCTTGTTGAGTTTACAACTGTTTTTATTTTTAAAATCACTTTTAGTTAGGGACTTTTACTCGGAACTTAAAACATCATAAGATATGCACTGATTTACACTGGGTGATTTAGGGCTTATATAAGAGTTGCTATTCATCATGTATCCATGGACCAGGCATTAAGTAGTTTACTATGTAGTTCTATCACAACATAACTATCATAACCCTATATGGTCAGTACTACTTTTTTTTTTTTTTTTTTTTTTTTTGAGATGGAGTCTTGCTCTGTTGCCCAGGCTGGAGTGCAGTGGCACGCGATCTTGGCTCACTGCAACCTCGGCCTCACGGGTTCAAGTGATTCTCCTGTCTCAGCCTCCTGAGTAGCTGAGACTACAGGCATGTGCCACCATGCCCAGCTAATTTTTGTATTTTTAGTAGAGACAGGGTTTCACCATGTTGGCCAGGCTGGTCTCGAACTCCTGACCTCAGGTGATCTGCCTGCCTCGGCCTCCTAAAGTGCTGGGATTATAGGTATGAGCCACCGTGCCCAGCCCAGTACTACTTTTATTATCCTCTAACAGAAGGGGCTTAGGAGAGATTATAGAACTCCCTTCAGAGAACATGGCTATAAATTTCAAAGTCAGGATCTGAACTCAGGTCTGTCTTGGTTTTTCAAATATACTATACTGCTAGCCCACTTAACCTGAGTTCCACTGTCTAATGTGTCTCCCATAAAGGAAATTCTACACTAGCAATTTCCCAAGATTATTCTGAAGAGTCAATGAGAAATGTATCTGAACTATTATTTAACTATGGTATTGTAGTAAAGATAAACAGGCATTCTTAGCATTTTTTAGTAAGGTTTGAATAGTTAAACTTCTATGCCTTTCAGTTAATTCTCAGAGCGCTGCAATCTGATTTTAAATCAGAATATTTTGAATTCAACACTTTATACTGTCAACGTATTTTTATGAAGGTTTGCATGCAAACATAGGTTGGAGTTGAATGTATATTTTTTAAAAAGATAAAAAAGCATAGAAGGCTATAACTGAAAGGGAAATTGGAAATCACCTAGAAAAACCTTCACATTTTGGATAAAGAAAGCACTAGAGAGAGGTGATGGAAACTGTCAGTGCCATTTAGCTAATTAAATTAGAAACAAGTCCTTTAATTCCTAGTCTATGATTCTTCTGATTTTTTTCCTATATTAAGAATAGAGATGTTAAAAAAAATTTTTTAATAGGTGATTTTAATTTGATAATGTGAAAAATACTGTTACTTATCTTTGTTTTCAAATGGTTTGTATCTGTTAAAACTCTCTTGGTTTGAACAAGTGACTTTCTCGAGTTCTATAACTAAACCTTATACTGTTAAAATCTTTGAGTGATTTCTAATTTTCTACTATAAAAAGGATACTTGGCCACCTAAAACTAAGGCATTCACTTTACAGAGATCACTGCTTGCAATGAGAAGCAGTGAATCTTTTCTAATCCTCTAAATTTATGTTGAGAAAACCACACTAACATTAGCCTTTACATGAACTGTAAAGAAAATATCACGAAGTTCTCCTGGTACGGGGCCACAGCTCCTCTGCAATTTGTAAACATGCTAATGAGATTCTAATGTGTTTACAGAGGGAATTTCTAGCTGAATACACCACAGCTTCCCAAGCAATCCACAGGAAAACTAGGCACACCACCTAGAAAAACAGGTGGCAGGCTCTTTTATGACAAATATGATTACTAGGTTTAATATATCGAGTACAGAGAATTTCAAGGTACCTACTGATAAAGATTAATGCTTTCACTTTTCTTTCTTTAGGATGCTCTTCAATATTTCTTAAATCTTTCTAAAAATTATTTTCAAGATGAGATATTATTCAGGACAACTGGTGCAGTCTCTTCAACAAATCAATACAAAAAGAAAAAAAAGAACAGTTCTAAATTAAAAGAGATATAAGGGATATAACCAGTTGTGCATAGTCCTAGACTGACTTTTAGTTTAGGGACATCAAAGTACAGGATGTTTTTGGAACAACTGAGAAAATCTTAGTATGGACTAGATATTAGAAGATGTTAAGGAATTACTATTAATTGCTTAGAGATAATAATATAATTTGAGCTATGAAGAGACCTGTTCTTATTTTTTTAAAGATACATTCTGAGGTTAAAAGAATACTTTATCAAAACTTCACGGCATAAAAAGATTCATCTTTCATTATTTATCATATGTCCATATAAAGTGACCTTTTACATAAATCTTTGTCTTAAATTTACTTTTCTAATTTTACTATTGCAATCCTAATATTTTTGATGAGAATAATTTTATTCTGTCTCCCCCAGTCTTCTATTTTATTTTTTAAGACAGAGTCTCACTCTGTCACCCAGGCTGAAGTGCAGTGGCATGATCTTGGCTCACTGCAACCTCTGCCTCCTGGGTTCAAGTGATTGTTCTGCCTCAGCATCCCAAGTAGCTGGGGACTACAGGCGTGAACCACCACAACCAGCTAAATTTTTTGTATTTTTAGTAGAGACAGGGTTTCACCATGTTGGCCAGGCTGGTCTCGAACTCCTGACCTCAAGCAATCCACCCACCTAGGCCTCCCAAAGTGCTCGGATTACAGGAGTGAGCTACCATGCCCAGCCTCCCCCAATCTTTTATGTTCAGCCTTATCGTGCCATTTTCCTTTAGCTAAATTTTTTTTATACAAAGCAAGTTACTGGATTTTGCTTTAGATCCTCAAGGAAAGTCTCTCCAAGACATAAGACTATTTGCAACTACTATTATATTTGTTATATTTGGTCTAATTTCTATTACTTTAGTTTTATGCTGTTTTTAAGTTTTCCTTATTTTTCTACTTCGTCTTTTTTTTAACTTTTAACTTTTGCAAGATACTTTATTCCAACCTACTAATTACTTTAAAGCATTTCATAAACATTATAATTTATCTAAGTATATTTTTTAAAATTAAGAATGTTGAATATTCATTTGTAGAAGATAAAAAATTCAGTACTTCTAACTTCCTTCAGCATATTCCTTATGTTCTTCCTCAAACTTATTTAATCTGAATATTTTCCAAAATTAATAGCAACTTAAAATTTTAAAATTAAAAATAATTTTTAATTTCAGAAAAATTAAGGATTTATAAATCCAAACAAATCCCAACATTAGAATGATATGTAATTTACATTAGGTAAAATGGGCAGTAAGTTTTCTCCAACTAGTGGCTCAGAAGTTTACACCACTTAGTTTCCATTTCACCGCTCATTCATTTTAATCTTTATCTCCTTATTCTTGAGTTATTTTTCAATTTACCTCTCAAATATCTGAAATGTATTAACTGGGTCTGTCAAGACATTAAAGGTCAGAATTTACCTTTGTATATAAATAAAAACTTGCTTGGATATAAAATAGGAGGTTCATAACCTCTTTTCTGAATTGCACAAGACACAATATCTTGTGCTCTGTAATATATTTTTGTAAAAATCGAAGCTTACATAATTTTCTTTGTTGTCTTTTTTCTTCTCCCTGAAAGTTGATTGGGTTCTTGTCTTTGGCTTTGAACACAAACACTAGGCCTTATTATTTTCCTTTTTAATTTTGTATGTGACAGGACCTCAATTTGTAATATTATGCTACTTTTTATTCAGTTTCATAAATTTTCTTTGTTCCTTTAATCATAATATTTGATTTATCTGCTCTATTTATTCATGAAATGGATCTCCGTGAGCTGACCCCAGTGGCTCAGAGCTCAGTATATGATATCCTTTATATTTTCAGTGAGATTAATATTTCACCAAATTGCTTTGTTAGACCAAAATGTGCTCTTGACTCACAACAAAGATTTCCTTTTGAGTGTTGTGATTTTTAGGCCATTATTTTCTTTTTATCATGGTCTTTTATATACAAACTAAGTAATAATTAAATTCAAGACACCATACATATTGTTTTCATATGAGACTAATATGTGAAATTGCACAATTATTAGATTATGAAGATTCAAACATGACTCTGATGGATCATTCAATAGCATCCATAGGAAATAAACATTTTCTTGGAGTACCCTTCAATCTGATAGTGATGCAGCTACCTAAATCTGAATACCCAGGCTAATTCTGCTCACAGAGAGAGAAAATACCCTGTTCTCAACTCACAAGTACTTGTTTCTTTAAATATATCTGAAGAAAAGCCATTTACCCTTGTATCAACAAAATGAATGTAAATTGGTAAATTTTAAATACCCAAAACTGAGGTCGCTGAATCAATGAAGAATTTTCCAAACCAAATACTTAATATTTAGATTAAAAGTTAAATCACATACTTTTATTACAGTGCATATAATCTAAAAATAATATAAAAGTGCAACTTTGAGAGCCAAAAATAAAGCTAAACTCTACTTCTGGCTCAGAGTTTTATGAAAAACACATTTCACCCAGTTTGAAAAGTCTCTATACATTATACTACAATACTTACAAGCTGAAGTTCTAATAGTTGGATCTTTTCATCTTTTTTCTTTATTTCGTCTTTAAGTTGTTTTATTTCATTTAATAAATCTTCATTCTGAAATATTAAAAAATCTTTAGATGAGGTATTTAAAATACCATAATGAGAGGCATGAAATCAATGATGAAGACACAGTAATGAACAAACTATCTGGTCATTTAGGGGGGAAATCCTCTATTAAAAAAAAATCTAAGATTTCATCCGGTAATGAAGTGTGACATGTTGACAATGAGCAATAGTAGCAGCAACAGTTAGCATTCATTGAGAACTTATTAGATGTTAAAAACTAAGCACTTGCACTTATTTAAGCATTTGATTCTACCCACACTCCTGAGGTAGGTACTGTAATCCTTTTTTACATATAAGAAAACTGGGACATAGGCCACAGAGTAAAAAAAAAAAAAAAAAAAAAAAATCACATACAAAAAAGCAACTTCAGCTAGACTTCAAGGGATACATAAGAGTAGCCTGTGAAAGAAAACAAAGGGCATGAGAAGCAGAGGCAATAGAATAATTAAAGGCACAGAGGCATTTCATGGCTGGTTTACAAATCAGCAAAAAAGATAAATGTGCCTGAAGGGTAACAAGGAAGATTCTTTGACCATGAGCCACTTTTTGAGGAGTACCTCCTGAATCAAAGAGAGAACACCTTCTCAATTGGATCTATAAGAAATGCCTAGTACTATTAAATGGAAACCTACTGTCAAGTTAAGCAGGAATCCAGTTACATTTCCAAAGTGTTAATCATTACCCTATAGTTAGCCCATGTTGTTTGTGTTTCATTATTCAGTTATCCAAAAGAGAAGGTAATATAAGCAAGGAAATTCAAATATAGATGTGAATAACATCTTTCCAGAGAGAAAAACAAGTAAGCAAATAATTAGGATGTGTTGTAACTAAGCAAAGAATGTCATCCCCTTTAGCTACATCGGGAACAAAAACATATATTCTCTTTAACAAAGAGATCAGAAATAGACATTTTACAAAGCCTTGAACATATCACATAAGCATCCCAAACAATGTGGAAGATTTTTAAAATGCTATTATGTACACTATAATTGAAAAAGACTTTATTACATACAAAAGATAATCTCCACTTGTTTTTAAGTTTAGGAATTATAAAAATTCATAAAGACAAAAAAGATGGATTGCAGATCATGAAAGATACATTTCTAAGAATACATTTAGAAGGACACATTTCTAAGTTATGTAGCAAATATAGCTATTCAAAAGAAATGATTTATATTTAATTATATAACATTTTAAGGCACCTTAACAATTAACATTAGTTAAAAGCTATTGATAATCCATGCAAATATGACAGAGGATTTATATCTCAAGTATATTAACAGCCTGTCTAAACATTTAAGATCATTTTTAAGGCCTCAACAGACAAGTAGCCAGTTCTCACAAATATACATATAACTGGTAAAATGTTGTATTTAACTTGTTGAATAAAGTATTGTTTTATAAATATTAAGTTAGTGGTGAAATACCCAATGTAATTAACCAGACTGCAGGAAAAAATGGCACACCATCAGACATAGCAGTTAACCTTTTTGGACAAATATACATCTGTATGTTTAAGAGCCATCAAAATACCTGCACTCTGATTCAGTTATCCTACTCCTAGGAATCTATATGAAAGAAATGATCCTTAGAAAGAGAAAACCTATAACAAGGTGTTATCTGAAAGTTAACAAGTTTACAATTGTCCTGTAAGAGGACAACGGGAATAAAATGTAGCAACTTCATGGAACACTATATAGCCATCATTCATGCAGTCACCAGTAGGTTCGGACTGTGTTACACAGGAAATGGACCCAAAAATGAAATCAACAAATAATGTGCTAAGAACATTAATAGCCAGCATGTATATAGCACTTGCTGTATGGCAGGCACTGCTCTAAGGATTTTTTTCCCCCACCAAAACCATTTCATTGTTTTAATTTTACTTTTAATTGACAGATAACATTGTACATATTCATGGTTTACACAGTAATGTTTTGACACATATAATTTATAGTGATTAGATCAGGGCAATTAGCATTTCCATCATCTCAAACATTTATCATCTCTTTGCATTGGGAACACTGATTTTATATATAAAGATAGGCAAAGAAGTGACATCACACATCAGAAATGAGGGACTACAGTGGAGTTCCAAAGGATAAGCACAAGATTCAGAAGATAGAGGAGTGTGGTAGGCTTGGAATTTTAGTTAAAGGATTCTAAGTGCCATACAATATAATACAAAGGTGAGGGAAAGCATAGCACGTCTGGAGAAGTATAAGCAGTGTCGCTGTTGCACATAGGTTCTGATTAATGTTGAGAAGCAATTGGCTAGTAAACTATGCAAGGGCCAGATCACAGAGAGCCATGACTATCACGCATGGCCTTAGCTAGGGAGTGACAGATTTGCATTTGAGATGGCTTTGACAGGTGTTTAGAGGACAAATTTTAACAACAGCAAGAAAACTGAGCTAGGCACTTATGAAAATATTATAATAATCTAGATAAGAGTAGGAGCCTGACCCAAGAGAGTGATAATATAGATGAAAAGGGAGAGAAGAAATCAAAATTTTGAGATTTTTGGCAATTCACTGCATGTGAGAAAAGAACAGAGGAGCATTCAAGGGTGACACTGTATTTCTAGCTTGAGTGACATGGTGAATAGCTGCGCCAACAAAAGAAATGGTGAATACAGAAGAACAACAAGTATGTCCAAAGAGGAATATGTGTGAATTTTAAATATATTGTTACACAGGTGGGTGGGCAGTAGGGGGGAGGTGGGGACATGATGGAGCCAGAAGAGATCTTGAGGTTTCTTCAGTTCAGTATGTCAAAGTACTGTATGTTGGGGTATTGGTTTCTGAGCTCAACAGTTATCAGTTTTTTCATTAAATAAATAAAATGTTTAAGACATCTCACATACAAATACACACACACACACACATACACACACATATGTGGGGGGTGAGAGAGAGAGAGTCTGTGTTAGAAGTACTTATGGGTGGGACATACAATAGAAGTGTGTCCAGTGGGCAACTGGATTACCAAGCATGAAAGAAAGGAGTTTTACATGTTAGCCATATATGTCATATTTGAAATTATGAGAGTAAGATGTTCAAAGAGGACTGGACTAAAGATATAAATCTAACATTTAAAGAAGAGGAGAAACCTACAGGAAAAAATGTTGAAAGGTATGAGGGATTCCAGAGAGAAGTGACACAAAAGCCAAAGGAGAAAGCTTTTAAAACAAAGGTCATGTCAAACGTCTACAGCATTGAAATGGTAGCTATTTTCATTGTTCCAAGTTTTCACACTAACTGGAAAGGAGTTTAAAAGGAGTCAAGAAAAAGTGTATTTGATTTACTGAAATTAAATGAGATATACACATTTACAAACAAATAATGACAAGAAAGTAGAGGAGGCGCACTCAAGACAGATGAGAGAGGAGGAAGAGATGCAGTTAGGTCCTTAAGCAACAGCAGAAGACAAGAGTTAAGAACACAGAAGAGCTGATCTTCCATAGCACAGTGGACACTTTTCCCCTGTAACTGGAACAAAGGAGTAAGAATGAGACAAATATAGATAAATTAGAAGGCAAGAAGGAGGCCGGGCGCGGTGGCTTACGCCTGTAATCCCAGCACTTTGGGAGGCCGAGGCGGACGGATCACGAGGTCAGGAGATCAAGAAAATCCTGGCTAACACGGTGAAACCCCGTCCCTACTAAAAATACAAAAAAAAAAAAAAATTAGCCAGGCGTGGCGGCGGGCGCCTGTAGTCCCAGCCACTCGGGAGGCTGAGGCAGGAGAATGGCATGAACCCAGGAAGTGGAGCTTGCAGCGAGCCGAGATTGTGCCACTGCACTCCAGCCTGGGCAACAGAGCGAGACTTTGTCTCAAAAAAAAAAAAAACCAAAAAAACAAAAAAAAGAAAGCAAGAAGGCAGGAAGCATAAGATATTTACTGGATGAACAAACATAAGGCTACCTGCAGAGGTTGAGAAGTATAGCTAAGCATGGAACTTGGAGAGAGCTATTTGGAAGAGATCATTAAGGGAATGGGAGAGGGATCTGTCCTGAGATTAAATAAAAGGATAGATTAGAGGCATGGTAGGTCCAATGGAGACTTTAGATCCTACAATTTTAATGGCACGAGATGCAGTATTTGTGTCATTTGAAACTGCACTGCTAAACCATTTTGGATGAAAGGTGACACAGTTGGGGATTTGCTGATTAAAATGCAAAAGAGACCAGAATACTGAAGAAAAGACAAGTATGACCTATTGCAACTCAGCTTAAATAAGAAAGACTAGGAATAATCTGCCTGGAAGGAAATGGAGCAGGGACAAGAAATAAATACTGTGTAACAAAATGTCTATCATATGGCCGGGCACAGTGGCTCACGCCTGTAATCCTAGCACTTTGGGACGCCGAAGCGGGCGGATCACAAGGTCAGGAGATTGAGACCACGGTGAAACCCCGTCTCTACTAAAAATACAAAAAATTAGCTGGGCGCGGTGGTGGGCACCTGTAGTCCCAGCTACTCGGGAGGCTGAGGCAGAAGAATGGCGTGAACCCAGGAGGCTGAGCTTGCAGTGAGCCAAGATCATGCCACTGCACTCCAGCCTAGGCAACAGAGCAAGACTCCATCTCAAAAAAGAAAAAAAAAGCAAAAAATGTCTATCATATAGCATTAAATATTTAGATGAACTAGAAAGGAACACTGGAAAAGAGTAAAGATACCAATTGTGT
Source organism: Homo sapiens (assembly GCF_000001405.40). Taxonomy (NCBI): domain Eukaryota; kingdom Metazoa; phylum Chordata; class Mammalia; order Primates; family Hominidae; genus Homo; species Homo sapiens. Next base: position 84,465,669 of record NC_000010.11, on the reverse strand, counting down.
AAAAATGTTGGAATTAATTTTTTTTCTTTAAAACATAATTTCTTGTCCGGGTGCGATGGCTCATGCCTGCAATCCCAACACTTTGGGAGGCCGAGGTGGGTGGATTACCTGAGGTCAGGAGTTCGAGACCAGCCTGGACAACATGGTGAAACCCCATCTCTACTAAAAATATAAAAAATTAGCCGAGCATGGTGGCAGATGCCTGTAATTCCAGCTACTTGGGAAATCAAGGCAGCAGAATCGCTTGAACCCAGGAGGCCGAGGCTGCAGTGAGCCGAGATTGCGCCACTACATTCCAGCCTGGGTGACAGAGCAAGGCTCCGTCTAAAAAAAAAAAAAAAAAAAAAAAAAAAAATCTTTACATGTAAAAAACTTTTTCACACACACACACACACACACACACACACACACACACACACACACACACACAAATTCAGGAAAGAGGTCAACTTTGCTTTTAAAATGTCAGTCACAAATTCACAATTTTTTTTTTTCTAAACTGGGAGGTCATCAGAGATTACCTAAGTCAATGGTTCTCAACTGAGTGTTAAGAGATGGCCTGCTGTGAACCTGCTGACTTAATGTATTATACTGAGAGTAGGATGAAAGCTCAGGGTTGGGAAGCAATCTGGGCAAGGACAGGTAGTCAACAAGTTGAAAAGCCAAGATGAGAGAATGAGATTGACTACTGTACTATACTCTTATGATTTTGATTGCTTTATATACAATCTTCTTCCCAATAAATCACTCTGCAACCTACGAGCAAATAATGCTTTTCTGCCCTATTAATTCCAGGCCTGGCCCCTTGAATTGTTTTGAAAGTGATATGTGCCACATCCAAGCAGAATTCACATGTGATCCTATCAAAGTTCTCTTCCCACTGGCACAATAACATGTCCCACAATAGGGGCTGATCCGTCTCAGTATGGATCCCAGAATGAGGAAGACACATGAAGCAGAGTCCCAGCTGATCTACAGCCAATATGTAAGTGAAATATAAATTTCATTATTATAAGCCACCATTGCTTTCAGGTTGTTACTGTAGATGACTAGCAAACACTAATAAGTGTACCCTGAAAATGGGATGTAAAAGCTAACTATAACTTGACTTGGAAACATTAAATTAACCAAGAATCTCTGTGTGTGCTTAAGAAATAAATATGTGCTTAAATAGTTGCAAAATAAAAGAGTTTTCTTCAACTAAAAATAGACATAAATAAGAATTATAAAAAAACACTTTCACTCACAAAAATACATCTGTATTCTGTATTTTTAAACATGAAAAAAGAAATTAATCTCATTTTCAGTATACTTCTTCAATTTTGGGATTTATATATGAGAAGCACCTATAACCATTTTAACTTTCATTCCTACTCATATTTTAAAAACTCTTATCATTTATCATTATGAGCAATATATTTTCTTTTTAAATCCTGCAACAGTAGTAATACAAGGACAGATCATTATCCAACTGATAAATTCAAATTAAAGCACCACAGAGATATCATTTCAACTTAACAAAGTAGCAAAAGTTAAGAACAAACCTGATGCTTTAGGTATTAATACATTTATTATTGTTTTCATTGTCATTGTATCATTATTTTAGTATTTAAAAAGAATTTTGAAAAATCCAGCATGACTACATAGTCATACCTTATATACTTTATCACCATCTTCTGGTTCTGGACTGGATGGCAATGACAGTTGAATATCATGCAATGAACCACTTCCATCATGCTGTCAGAAAGAAGGGAAGAAAAACACTAGATTAATATAGTAATTGTGGACATTCAGTTCAACCTGAATTTACCCAGACCAAATGCTAGCATGGTGAAGACCAAATGCTAGCATGGTGAAGAACAAATGGGAGACAAAATTTTAGAAATCTTCATTTCCCCTATATATACTGTTAGAAGGAAATGTGGAAGAAGAAAAAAGGGAGCTACGGCAAGAATAATCTGTGGAAGTAAATAACGGATACTATATAAGCGGCTGAAATACAGAACCATTAAGCATTATGAGAAATTTCCTAAAGAATTTTAAGACTGTTTCACCTAGGAAAAGTGTAAAACAAAGGTCAACTGAATCTGCTTTGGTTTAGACATGTTTTGAGTACCAAGGAGCCATAAACAATAATATTAAGTAACCCAGTAAGGCTTAGCAGCAAAAATAACTGAATTAAAAATACTAGCTACATGAGGATATATATCACATAACTCCATTTATATGAAGTCTGAGAAAAGGCAAAACTAATCTATGGTGTTAGAAATCAGAAGAATGATGGTAGACTAAAGGGAAGGGGGTTACTGACTAAGAAGGAACATTAGGGAACCTAGTAGGAAGCTGGAAATGTTCTATGTCCTGAGTGTACGGTAGTTAAACATACATATGAAAAGCTTGAGCTGTACACTTAAGATTGGTACACCTTAACCACTTTACTGGATGTATCTCATGCCTCAAAAAAGGCTGAAATAAAGATTTTTGTTCCAAAACATTATAAATAAAATAGGATGACAATACTAAGTTCCACCCTTTGCTGAACTGGTTTAGTACTAAGAAACCACATGCTCAATGGTTCAGAAAGACAGCCTCAAGAAAAATGAACCAGTGAAGAATATAACTGGATGACGTGCTACCTTGATCAGGACTGAGCCCCTGACTAAGGCAGCACAACTGAGGTTCAACACCTTATTTGTTCATGATTCCTGGCTGCCTCAGTAAACCCAGTGACTGAACCAGCAACCTTCAAGGAACATAACATTGCAATCTTCCTCAGATATATCTTTTCTGGTTCTCCCATACCATGGATAATGTCTACAATAGGGGAGGTGAGCATGCAGGTTATTTTCTTCTTAATTTATTGTACTGTATACCCACTGACACAGAATCTCTAGGGATGGGGCCCAGAATTTCTAAATGTGTATTTAGGGCAGTTCAAAAGGTAATGCTGATTGACAGTCAAGAGAGTAAGTGTTTGCCAAATTTCCAGCATAGATAAATTACTTTTCTATGGTGGTGTCAAATGGACATTAAGACTTTGATCTAAGAACATAGGCAACATTCTAATGAATAGCAATATTCTCGGAACACATTTTTAAAAATTAAGAAATAAAGAAAGTAAAGTGAGTTTTACAGGACTCATCTCAGTAAAAAGTTCATCTCCGTTATTACTGCCTAGACATATAAAAGCATCGCCAGTCCTACCTACAAGTATATTTGAGAAGAGAGACAGACTGTAAAATTTGAATTATTTCCAAATATCTAAATGTCTTCTTCCCAACTGCAATGCAGGAACCCCAAGGAATATGAGACAACACAAGCACATACTGCTTTGCATTAAATGCAGGTGCACTTGTGGGAAGTGTACAGCAGAATAGAAAAAATAAAACAACAGCATTAAGGATAGAGGAAAAAAGAGAAGTCCAGCAAAACAGAAAATACCAGAGGTCACAAAATACCAGGAACTGAGTAAAGTAGCTCCATAAAGCTGTTGTAAATTCATCGGTTCATCCCTGAGCAGCACTTGCTTGGATCTGATCCTAAACAGCATAGCAAAGACTTTGAAAAATAACCTAAGATCACTTCCCAGGTCCCAGACTAGCCTCTGGAAGATGTATACTCAGAACAGATCTGGAAAGCATGGCAAAAGCTTTGAAAACAGAGCTGGCATTAAAACCACAATCAAGACAGCTAGCTGTACCTTGTAGCCTAAACTCAACCACATTGTTTGCCTGTTTAAAAACAAAATAAAATAAAGATTTAAAGAAGATCAGGAATCTCATTATACAACGTTCAAATATCTAATATATAATCCAAAATTACTCAACATCTAAACAGAGGAGAAAATGTCAACTCACAAAGGAAAAGACAATCAAAAAACACCAACACCAAAATGACACAGAAGGTAGAACTGGAAGAGATTTTAACAGAGCTGTTATTAAAATTCTCCAAAAGAATAAACTCTTGAAGGGACTACAAAGAGAAAATCTCAGGGGGAAAAAAAAAAAACAGAATATAAAAAGTAGAAACAAATGGAGATTTTAGACCTGAAAAGAGTCAAAAACCAAAATTTTAAAATGCACTATTGATGGGCTAAATACTAGCATTTCAGATTATACAATAAACTTAAAGAGTGATCAACAAAAATTATCCAATCTGAATGATGAAGAGCAACAAGATTGGTCAAAAAAAATTGACAGAGCCTGCTCAGGAACATATGCGGACAGTAATAAAAGAGCTAACACTCCTGTCATTGAAGTCACAGAAGGATAGGGGTGGGCAGAAAAAATATTTCAAGAAATAATGGATAAACACACCCCGAATTTGGTGAAAGACACAAACCTACAGATTTGAGAAACCAAATTTAAAAGAACTAAAAATACACCAAACATATGCTCTCTGAATATAAGAGAATTTAACTAGAAACTAATAACAGAAAGATAATCTCCATACACTTGAAAAGTAGACAACCTTCTAAATCATCCTTGGGTCAAAGAAGAAGTCTCAAGAAAAACAAGAAAATATTGTGAATTGAAGGAAAATAACAGACACCACATACCAAAATTTGTGGAATGCAACTAAAGCAGAGTGATAAGGGAAAATTATAGAATGAAATACTTTTATTAAAACAAAGGTGTCAAATCAATAACTGGAGCAAAATAAATGTACAACAAGCAGAAAGAAGAAAATAATCAAGAGCAGAAATTAATGAAACTGAAAATTAAAAAACACAAACAAATCAATGAAACTAAAAACACTTTCTTTGAAAATTGCTAGACATCTAGCAAAACTGCCAAAATGCAAAAAAGAAAGCACAAATCAAAACATTATCAGGAATGAAAGCAGAAATATCATTACAGACATCTCAAATGCTAAGAGTAAATAAAGCAATAATAATATGAATGACTCTACACACACAAATTTGACAACTTATGTGAAGTGGCAAAATTCCTCAAAAGCAACAAACTCTTGAAACTCACCTAAGATGAAATAGATAAGCTGTGTAAACATATGACTACTAATAAAAATGAATTCATGGTTTAAAGCCTCTCACTAAAAAAAAAAAAATCTGAGGCCAGATGTTTTACTGGCAAATTGTTCCAAAATTTAAGAGAATAACATCAATTCTATACAACCACTTAGAGAAAAATCAAATTAAATTAATAAAATCAATTAATGAGGCCATTAATTGCACTTCCCTGATACTAAAACAAAGACAGTATAAGAAGACTACAGATCAATATTCTTCATGTATAAGGATGCAGAAGTCTTTTAAAAAATCTCACACATGTAATCCCAGCACTTTGGGAGGCCAAGACGGGGGGGATCACCTGAGGTCAGGAGTTTGAGATGAGCCTGGCCAACATGGCGAAACCCCATTTCTACTAAAAATATGAAAAAAAAAAAAAAAAAATCAGCCGGGCATGGTGGCGCATGCCCATAGTCCCAGCTACTCAGGAGGCCAAGGCAGGAGAATTGCTTGAACCTGGGAGGCAGAGGTTGCAGTGAACCAAGACTGCACCCCCGCACTCCAGCCTGGGCAACAGAGTGAGACTCTGTCTCAAAAAAAAAAAAAAAAAAAATCGAAGAATCAAAACCAACAATATGTAAAAAGGGAAATACACCATGAGCAACTGAGGTTGATCCCACCAATGCAAAGCTGGTTCAATAGTCAGAAAGCAATGTAATTCACCAAATTGAGAAATAAAAGGTCTGCACAATTATCTCAATAGACTACACAGATAAATTTCCTGGCAAAATTCAATATCCAATCAGGATTTAAAAAAAACTCAGAAAGCTAGGAATAAAAGAACTTGCTCAACCTGATAAAGTTCATCCAAAAAACCCACCAGGCATGGTGGCTCATGCCTGTAACCCCAGTACTTTGGGTGGCCAAGAGGGGCAGGTCGCTTGAGCCCAAGAGTTCAAGACCATTCTGGGCAGCATGCTAAAACTCTGTCTCTACCAAAACTATAAAAAATTAGCCAGGTGTGGTGGGATGCACCTGTAGTCCCAGCTAATTGGGAGAATGAGGTGGGAGAATCACCTGAGCCTGGGAAGTCAAGGCTGTGGTCAGTCATGACTGTGCCACTGCACTCCAGCCTGGGTAACAGAAGGAGATCCTGTCTCTGATTCCCCCCCAAAACCAAACCAAAACAAAACAAAACATCCTACCAGTAACATCATATTTAATGGTGAAACATGGAATATTCTACCCCAAGACCAGGAACAAGGCACTCCTATTCAATATCATAGTGGAGTTTCTATCCAGTGCAATAAGGCAAGAAAAAGAAATAAAAGGCGAACGAATAGGAAAGAAAAAAATAAAATAACCTCATTTAGACACAGAATGTATGGTGTAGAAAGTCCCTTAAGTATCTATAATAAAAGTACTAGAAATTTGGGAGGCTGAGGCAGGCAGACCACATGAGGTCAGGAATTCAAGAACACCCTGGCCATCATGGCAAAACTCCATCTCTACTAAAAATACAAAAATTAACCAAGCGTGGTGGCACATGCCTGTAATTCCAGCTACTCAGGAGGCTGACGCAGGAGAATCGCTTGAATCCAGGAAGCAGGGGTTGCAGTGAGCTGAGATCGTGCCACTGCATTCCAGTCTGGGCAACACAGCGAGAACGTCTCAAAGACAAAAACAAAAACTACTAGAACTAGTACATGAATTTAGCAAAATCACAGGATACAAGGTCAATATACAAAAATCAACTGTGTATGGCAAACAACTGAAAATTGAATTTAAAAAAAACTACCATTTATGATAAAGCAAAATCCAAAAGACAAGGGAAAAAAATCCAAAATAACAAAAGAGAAATACTTAGGTACAAATCCAACAAAACACAGACTCTGTATATTAAATATATAGGTTGATTTCTTTCACATATATGTATATACATATATGTGTATGTATATATGTGTATATGTGAAGGAATATATGTGTGTGTATATGTGAAAGAAATCAGAGAGAACTAAATAAATGGAGATATCCTCTGTTCATGAATGGAAAGATTAAATATTGTTGAGATATCAATTCTCTTCCAAACTCAACTGGAGATTCAGTATTCTCCCTATCAAAATCCCAGCAGAATTTATTTTTTGTAGAAATAGAAACGCTGCTTCTAAAATTTACATGAAAAGGCAAAAGAACTAAAATAGTCAAACAATTCTGAAAAGAGAAAGTTGGAAGAGTCACACTACTTAAAGACTTACTATAAAGCTCCAGTAATCAAGAGAAAGTGATAATAGCAAAAAGATAAACATACATCAATGGAAAGAAAAGAGTCCAGAAACAGACCCACACATTTATGGTCAAAGGCATTTCTGACAAAATTACAAAGGCAAAACACTACAGAAACAATATTCTTTCCAACCAATGGTGCTAGAACAACTGAACATACACGTGATAAAAATAATCTTGGCCCATAACTCATACCACATACAAAAACTCTTCAAACAGATTATACACCTAAGTTTCAAACTTAAAACTATAAAACTTATCCACTTAAACATAGAAAATCTTTGCAATCTTGGGTTGAGCAAAGATTTCTTAGACCAAAACATGATCTATGGAAAAAATGGTGGCAAAAAAATGATAAATTTTACTTCAAGAGCAGAACTTTTGCTCTCACACCTGTAATCCCAGCCTTTTGGGAGGCCGAAGCAGGCGGATCACCTGAGGTCAGGAGTTCTGAGACCAGCCTGGCCAACATGGTAAAACCCCATCTCTACGGAAAAAAATACAAAAAATTAGCTGGGCGTGGTGGCATTCGCCTGTAATCCCAGCTACTCCAGAGGCTGAGACAGGAGAATCACTTGAACCAGGGAAGTGGAAGTTGCAGTGAGCCTAGATCACACCACTGCACTCTAGCCTGGGCAACAGAGCAAGACTCTGTCTCCAAAAACAAAAACAAAAACAAACAAACAAAATTTTATATATTTATATATAATATAATTATATATAAATATATATAATTTATATAATAACTAAAATTAAAAATAATATAATTATATATAATTATATATAATATATAAATATATAATTATATATAATATATAAATATATAATTATATATAATATATAAATATAAATTTATATATAATAATATACATTATATATAATTATACATATATTATATATAAATATATATGATTGCAGATACTTTCTTCCAGTCCATGTCTTTTATATATATATTATATATTTTATAATATGTATTTATATATAAATATAATTTTAAATATATTTTTTAAAATATATATTTAAATAAATATATATTTAAAATATATATTTAAAATAAATATATATATTATATATAATATATAATATATTATATATAATATATTATATATAACATATTATATATAATATATAATATATAATATATTATATATAATATATTTTATATAATATATAATATATAATATATTTATATATAATATGTAATATATATATAAAAGAAGACATGGACTGGAAGAAAATATCTGCAATCATTCAAGTAAATACCGAGCATAATGCGTAACTCATAGAAAGCCTTTTTAAAGTGTCAGCTAATTTTAAAACAATAGTAAGAAAATAATGAGAATGTGAAGGTGCAGGGTTATTACCTCACAATTGTACATAGTTGCCCAAAAAGCTAGTCCCATTTTTAAAAATATCCATTTGTTTCATCACTTACATACCTAATAAAGGAGCTATATCTAAAATATATAAAGAACTCTCAAAAATCAGTAAGAAAAGACATTTGTGTTAATAGGCAAAAAAGACACTTCACCAAAAAAGACATATAAATGGCAAACAGTCATATGAAAATATGCTCAATATCATTAATCTTTACACAAATGCAAATTAAATCAACAATGAGATACCACTAAACACCTATTCAGTGGCTTTTATAATACACTGATAATACCAAGTGCCAGCAAGAATGCAGAACAATAGTTACATTCTTACATTGCTAGTGGCAATACAAAATGATATAGTCACCAAGGAAAACAGTTTGGTAGTTTCTTAAAAAGTTAAGTTTACACTTACCATACAACCCAGCAATCCTACTCCCAAGTATTTACCCGAGAGAAATAAAAACACATGCTCACATGAAAATCTGTAAACAAATGTTCACAGCAGTTTTATTTGTAACTGCAAAAAAAGTAGAAAGCAACATAAATACCCTTCAGCTGGTAAATGAATAAGCAAACTGGTAGCATTAAAATAGAACACTAACTCTGCAATATACAGAAACGAATTCCTAATACACGGTACAGCATAAATGAATATTTCAAGTTGCATTATGTTAAGTAAAAAAAGCCAGACTCAAAGGCTATATATTATACTCAAAAGGCTATATCATATCCATTTATATGATAATCTTTTCATATCAGTGGTTGCCAGGAGCTAGCAGTGGGTGTAGAAATTGACTTTAAAAGAAAAGGAATTCTGGGAGGGGATTGTAATAGCTGCACAATTGTCAATTAAAGCTCATAAAACTGTACACTGAATTCATGCAGGTGGGGGTCTGTGTTTGATTTGAGGGCTCTGCATGGCGTTTCCTGTTCTCTCCCCTGTGTGGCTGCAGCTCGGGTCTTTGGCCTGACCCAGCCCGATCTAGGCTTTGGAAGAGCTACAGAAACATCTAGAAGAAGCAAAGGTGTTGCTGGAGAAGGCTACTAGGAAAGGAGTACGTGATGCCCTTACAGGTGAAAAAATCCAAAATTGAGACAGAAATCCAGAACAAGATGCAACAGAAATCATAGAAGAAAGCAGAACTTCTTGATAATGAAAAGCCAGATGCTGTGGTTGCTCCCGTTACAATGGGATATACAGTGAAAACCAGTAATTATGGATGGGATCAGTCAGATAAGTCTGTGAAAATCTACATTACCTTAACTGGAGTTCATCAAGTTCCCTCTGAGAATGTGCAGGTGCATTTTACAGAGAGGTCATTTGATCTTTTGGTAAAGAATCTAAGTGGGAGGAGTTACTCCATGACTGTGAACAATCTCCTGAAACTCATTTCTGTGGAAGGCAGTTCAAAAAAGGTCAAGACTGATACAGTTCTTATTTTATGCAGAAAGAAAGTGGAAAAGGCTGGGCGCAGTAGCTCACGCCTGTAATCCCAGCACTTTGGGAGGCTGAGGCAGGCAGATCACCTGAGGTCAGGAGTTTGAGACCAGCCTGGCCAACATGGCAAAAGCTCGTCTCTACTAAAAGTACAAAAATTAGCCACATATGGTGGCAGGCACCTATAATCCCAGCTACTAGGGAGGCTGAGGCAGGAGAATCACTTGAACCCTGGAGGTGGAAGTTGCAGTGAGCCGAGATTGCGCCACTGCACCCCAATCTGGGCGACAAAGACTCTTTCTCAAAAAAAAAAAAAAGAAAAAGAAAAAGAAAAAGAAAAAAAGAAAGAAAGTGGAAAACACAAGGTGGGAGGGATTACCTGGCTCAGGTTGAAAAAGACTGCTGTTCTTACACTGCTAATAAAGACACCTGAGACTGGGTAATTTATAAAGAAAAAGAGGTTTAATGGACTCACATCTGCATGTGGCTGGGAAGCCTCATAATCATGGCCGAAGGAGAAGCATAGGCATGTCTTACATGGTGGCAGTCAAGAGAGCATGTGCAGGGGAACTGCCCCTCATAAAACCATCAGATCTCATGAGACTTATTCACTATCATGAGAACAGCATGGGAAAAACCCTTTCCCCCATGATTCAATTACCTCTCACCAGGTCCATCCCACAACACGTAGGGATTATGGGAGCTACAATTCAAGAAGAGATTTGGGTTGGGACATAGCCAAACCAAATCAAGTGCAAAGAAAAAGAGAAACCCTCCTATGATACTGAAACAGATGCTAGTGAGGGATTGATGAATATTCTAAAGAAAATATATGAAGAAGGAGATAATGATATGAACCAAACCATTAATAGAGCCTGGGTGTAATCAAGAGAGAAGCACATCAAAGGAGACAGAATTTTGAGACTTAGAAGTCCTTTTGGGAAGTGTATTGTGGAAATACAGATGTTGCCAATAAGGAAATACTGGTGAGCTGCATATATAAATTTGACATCTATTTAACAGCCTTCTTCTAAGTAAAAGCAATGAATTCTTCATTTCCTATGAGAGGATTTATTTAAATAAAATATGCTTATTAAACACTTAAAAAAAACTGCACACCAAAAGGCTGAATTTTACTGTGTATATTGCATCTCAATAGAACTGCACTAGCTTGAATGATGTACCCCCTAGAAATTCATGTCCATCCAGAACCTGTGAATATGACATTACTTGAAAATAGGCCTTTACGATGTAATCAAGTTGAGTTCACACGGGATTAGGGTGGGTCATAAATCCAATATAGCGGATATCCTTATAAGAAGGGAGAAATTTGGACCCACAGACACACAAGGGAGAAGGTCATGTGAAGATGGAAGTAGAGACTGGAGAGATGCATCTACAAATCAAGGAATCCCAAGGATTGCTGGTAACCATTAGAAGGTAGAAGAAACGCAAGTTTCTCTTACAGAGCCTTCAGACAGAGAAAAGCCCTGATGACAACGCCTTGGTTTTGGATTTCTAGCCTCCAGAACTATGACAGAATAAACTTCTATTGATGTAAGCCTCCAAGGTGTGGTAATCTGTTATGGCAGCTCTAAAAAACTAAGATAAGATTTGATCAAAAAACAGCTAAAAGCAAGTAAAAAGGAGAGAGAAACACCAGATAAATCTCAACAATCACACCCACAAAAAGCTGAAATAGCAATATTATTGTAACACGAGAAGCAGGGTACCATTAAAGAAGGAAAGTATTAATAAAGATAAACAAAGAATTCTAATTAGTAATCAGAGGACCAATCTGCCAAGAAGATGTACCAATCATAAACATGTATATACCTGATACAATAGCCTGAAAATACTACAACAAAAATGGACAGCATTAAAAGGAGAAACTGAGACATCTGTAATTATAGCAGGAGATTAACACTACTCTCAGAAATTCACACATCAAAGGCAAAAATTTAGTAAGGATAAGCAAGATATAAATAGTACAATTAACAAGCCTGATATAATAGACATACTGCTACCTAAGATACAGAAAATATATATTCCATTCAAACGAACAGAGCCATCATAAAAACTGACCACGCTGTTGGCGAGAGATTAACAAACTACGGTTCACAGGACAAATCTGGCCAGCTGCCTCTTTTTACTACAGTTAAGAAAGCTTTCACATTTTTAAATGGTCGCATTTGAAATGTTTTATCTACATAATAGCCTCAATTTTGTGTCTTGCCCAAAATGGCTAAAATATTTACTACGTGATCTTCTAAAGAAAAGTTTTCCAAACTCTGTTCTAGCCCACAAAGAAAACATTAACACCTTCCAAAGAACTTATATCATAGAAATATATTGTTCTGATCAATTTAAAAATTAGAAATTAGAAATAAATTAAGTGAAAGCCCCATATACCAAGTCATTATTTTTGAAAACTGAAAAAAAAAATGAAATAAAATAAATGCATGGGACAGCCCAAGACAACTAGGAGTTACTAGTGTTTAAGTTATTAATATGCTTCAAAAAATTCTGCTCCTTTTTATTAAACAGTCTAGCAGTCCAGATTTTAGGAGATCAAAAAGATAAAAAAGCTATTATTTCCATTAAAGCACAAGAGCCTTAAAGATTAGGAATATAACAACAACTGAATCAAATAATAACCACCCTCCTAATAACTCTGACACTAACCAATGGTTAGTACTCTCTATTAATCCTTGACTAAAAGGAAAGTGCCCAGGCCAAAATTAGGAAACATTTGGTGGGGGGAGGGGGGCGGCGGGGATCATAAAATAGAAAACATACTCTTTCTAAAAAATACTGAAGAAATAACTTCATGCATTCAATTTTCATGTTTCACATTATACATACTAAAGAGCTAACATTTATTGACCAGTGCTGGGTACTGTTCCAAGTGTTTTGCATAAACATATTTAATAAATGCACAGGAGCAAAAATAGTACAAAAAATCCATAGCAACTGAACAAAAAATAAGTAATTCACAGTTAACCAACTGTCTAGGAATTCTGGACTGCTTTACTAGGTGAAATGTTTTAGCAGTCTCTACAGTTTCTAGTTAGAATTTCTGAACTCTGAATGCAATTAGGATGCTAATACATTATCAGCATTTTATTAAAGATGGATAAACCTTCCTCTATTCTCAAAGCATTAGAGGACTATTGTCAGCAAACCATCTTCCACTCTTCTTTTTTGACACATCACAATGGCAAACTTTTGTTCTAATACTATAATTCTTCCACATGTTAACTTGCTGAAAACCCTGTAACAAACTCCATCTTACCCAGGTGATTCTTCCATGAGTTTGCAAAAACTGAGATCTTCCTGTGAGTTCCAGAGCAGCTGCAATGGACATGGATACTTGAAATGACTAACAAAAACGTTTAGCAGCACTGACAAATCCCTACTAACAAGCATCATCAGTGATGTCAACAAAGCTGCCTTGTGTTTCAGATATGCTACAACACAATGACAAGAGGCATCCTAGGAAAGGGAGCAGAGGAAGAGGACAGAGACATTTTCTTTCTTTTCTTTTTGTAAGTTTTTTTTCTTTTTTAAATACAAAGGTATATAGATGAACAATCACATCACATCACACAGTCCAGAATGTGCACTACAAATAATTTTTGAGTAATACTGTAAAATTCAACAGTGGGATTTAAAATCTACTAATTCAAGCTACATTTGAGAGGATTTTAAAAACACTGACTTATAAAATCTGATTTTAATAAGCGCTTTAGAGGTGAAGTGATCCTCACAGATGGTCAGGGCAAAGACACTTTGAAATAAAAAACATATCTATCTGGCATCCAAGTTAACTGGAATGTTGTTATATATAAATAGAACCTTTATAATATTCTAAGCAAATAGTATTTACAAATTTTTTCTGTTTAAATTTTTTATTGAACCTACACATTTACATATCTGTTACGTCTGTACATATCTGAACCCAGATATCCCTTCCTGTAGGTTTGTTTTGGCACTTAAAGATATTCCTAATTTCTACTAATTTTTCTAGATTTTGGTTTTTAAAAAATATCCAACTCCTCAAGCCATCTGTGTTCTGCTACAGTATAAGAAACTAAGTTTTCCTAAACTAATAAATTTTCCTCAGTAACTTTTGCATAAACTCTTTCTATATGCAGGTGGACGCAACGGCACGTGCCTGTAGTCCCAGCTACTTGGGAGGCCAAAGCAGGAGGATCATTCGAAGCCAGAAGTTTGAGGCTGCAGTACTTTATGATCACACCTGTGAGTAGTCACTGCACTCCAGCACAGGCAACACAGCAAGACCCTGTTCTTTAAAAAAAAAAACAAAAAACAAAAAAAAAAAACCCAACCAACCAAAAAAAAAACCTTTCTATAGCCAATTATTTTTTACTAAATACATCAGCACATATTTCTATGTTTCCTATTCTCTTTCATTGCTCTATGTGTTGTGTCTATTTGTGTCAGTATTATACCCTGCTCTAAAGGGTTTTTTCCCCTTTCTCCTTTTCAATGTACACAAATCTTATCCTTTGATGTTTCCAATTTTGGAGTCATTTTGATAAATTCCAAAAACAAAGCTGTTATGATTTTGGCTGAAACTGTATTAAATCTGTAAATCGTACTGAGAAAAACTGTAGATACACACCATACACTCAAATTGTATTTTGTACAATCTTTATACAACACACAATTTATTATACACTCAGATTGTATCTTACACAATCTTTTTATAACACCTAATTTGTTACCCTTTGCAACACATCATTCTCATAATTATTTAATTTAATACATGTATATTCCCCTAGACTATAAGCTAGCTATCTTGATTACTACTTTAATATCTGTAGCATTTATAATATTTGGTCTTCCCACAGAACGTAAATGGTTTCTACAAAGTTTCTCAGGTTTTTAAAAATAAAACATCACAAATGTCTCTCAGTAAATTTATTGATAATTTCATGTTTTATTGATGCAGTGATAGCTGCCTTATTTACTACTGAAGTCCCAGCTCTATGATTTATTGGCCTTGGAGTCTTGAGCATAGTATTGTTTATCTACTAGAACAGAGTTTTCTATTTTGGGGGGTGGGGACACTGATCCACAATAAAAATACATTTTATAACACAACCAAGTACATATATACATGAATAGGTATGCATTTACATGTGTATGCACATATCCATGTGTGTAATATAGGGAGATATACATATATTTCTCTCACTAAAAACAAATTTCATGAAAAAGTATTTGTCCTTATTACGTGTGATGTCCTTTTGATAGTTTTATACTGTTTTACTTCATTACC
This sequence comes from Homo sapiens, assembly GCF_000001405.40. Classification (NCBI taxonomy): domain Eukaryota; kingdom Metazoa; phylum Chordata; class Mammalia; order Primates; family Hominidae; genus Homo; species Homo sapiens. The sequence continues at coordinate 84,450,292 of NC_000010.11, read as the reverse complement.
AAAAATTCTAGTCATGATGAAAATTCATTTTAAGACCCACTAACCGGTTTTAACCTATAGTTTTCGAACAATGTACTGGGTACAGGTTAAAAACTGTGTCCTCTTTATTTTTATCTCCATTACTACCATGATCCTTGGTATGGACAGAATAATAATAAACAAACACAGGTATTGAAGTAAATAAAATTAGCTTTCTGGGCAGCTACATAAAATTGTGAGCAATTAAAAACCCTTGACTTTCATGTTACTATGAAACATGTTGTTGCTATTATTAACTGCTAACATGCATTAACTGCATTACATGTATCAGGTTATGCTGAAACATCAGCATACTATGCTTAGCATTTTAGAATACTATCAGCATAGTATGCTTAGCATTTTAAGATACTATGGATGATACTATGTTAGCAATTTAATGTGTTTTTTGTTTGTTTGTTTTGTTTTTGAGACGGAGTTTTGCTCTTGTTGCCCAGGCTGGAGTGCAATGGCGCGATCTCAGCTCACCGCAACCTCTGCCTCCTGGGTTCAAGCAATTCTCCTGTCTCAGCCTCCTGATCATTACAGGCATGCGCCACCACGCTCAGCTAATTTTGTATTTTTACTAGAGACGGGGTTTCTTCATGTTGATCAGGCTGGTCTCGAACTCCCAACCACAGGTGATCTGCCCACCTTGGCCTCCCAAAGTGCTGGGATTATACAGGCATGAGCCACCGCCCCCAGCCCTACGTTAGCATTTTATGGGAATTGCCTCATGCATTCTTCACAACAGTCCTGAAGTAAGAGCTATTACATTCTATTATCTTTTCTAGGAAACTGCAGCACAGAGAGTTTAAGCAACTTTTCCAACATCGTACAAGTAGGAAAATTTGCCTGAACCCAAAACTCCACCTTGGAATTGTCTATTCTGATTTTTTTCTTGAGACAGACTCTTACTCTGTTGCCCAGGCTGGAGTGCACTGGTATGATCTCAGCTCGCTGCAACCTCTGCCTCCCGTGTTCAAGTGATCCTCCCGCCTCAGCCTCCCAAGTAGCTGGGACTACAGGCACACGCCACCATGCCTGGCTAATTTTTGTATTTTTAGTAGAAATGGGGTTTCGCCATTTTGGCCAGGCTGGTCTTGAACTCCTGACCCCAGGTGATCCACCTACCTCGGCCTCCCAAATTGCTGGGATTACAGGCATGGGCCACCGCGCCTGGCCTGATTTTTCTTAATTACATTTATTCCTATTAACTTTCATCATTGAAACGTAGAGATTCAGCATTATCCCAATTATTCCACAACTAAAAACAACCTGAATGTCTATCAACAGATAAATTGATAAAAGTCAAATTGTGGTACATATATGTAGAATGGAGTCTACTCAGCAATAAAAAGAAATGAACTACTGATACTAGCAAAACACAGATGAATATCAAAACCATTAAGGCGAGTAAAAAAATTCAGAAACAAAAAGAGTACACAACAAATGGTTCCATTTTGATGAAATTCTAAGAAAGATAAAACTTTAGAACCAAAAGCAGAATAGTGGTTGCCTGGGCCGGGTTTGAGAAAGAACTGACTGCAAAGGGAAATGAAGGAACTTTATCAGTACAGAAATGGTCTATATCTTGAATGTGGTGGTAATTACACAATTGCATATATTCATCAAAACAAACTGTACACTTAAAATGGGTGCAGTTTATTTGAATGTACATTCTGTCTCAATAAAGTTGATACTTTTTTTAAATTCTCCTCTTCACCTTCCTATTCCTTTCTTAACAAGCCATTAGGTAAGTCAGAGCAAAATAGGTTTCCACCCCAAAAGCCCAGCAGGAAGTTTCAGAGCCTAAGTAGGTTGAAAGAGCATGTCTCCATAGGGAGGCAGCTTACCAATATATGCCATATCCCAAAAGGAGTGAAAACAGTATCCATGAGGGGTGGGGAAACAGCTTGATATTAGAGTCAAACTTAAGTGGAAAGAATAGAGTGTATGTGCATAATCAGCAGCCTGGCATGGGCTATCAGAGTCAAAGAAGAGTGAGGTGAATATCCACACACAGGATGGCCTGGCAAAGACTGCCAGAGCTCAGGCATGACAATGAGTAAAGGGCTCAATGCCAGGTTTCAGATCCAAAATGGGTAAGGAGGGCATCCATGCGTAGACTCAACTGATGTGCAGTGTCAGGCCAAGCAGAGTGAGAAGGCGTCCATCTGGAGATGGGGATTGGTGTGGAGTATCAGAGTCCAATGGGCTGACAAGCAGTCAGAGCTGGAGTAGTATGAGAAAAGGGTACACGGAAGAGTGGGAGCAGCCATGCATAAGGATTCAGAATCTTAGCAGGATAACAAAAATAGCCGGGTATGGTGGGGCATACCTATAGTCCCAGCTACTTGGGAGGATCGGTTGAGCCCAGGAGGTCGAGGCTGCAGTAAGCCGACACTGCACCACTGCCCAGCCTGGGTGACACAGCAACACTCTGCTGCAAAAAACAAAACAAAACAAAAGAAACGAACTCTTCACACTTTAAGCCCTGAATCCATCCACTGATCACCCACAGATAAAAACAAATAAAAGTGGACCTCTACCTCATACTTTAAATGCACCAAAATCAATTCCAAGTTATTTGAGATTTAATTGTGAAGGTCAAAATTCTTAATTTTTTAGAAAAGAATAGAATATTTTTATGGCCTCAGAGCAAGAAAGGATTTTCAAACAAGGATTTCTAAAAGTGCAAACCACAAAGAAAAAAGTCTGATAAATTCACTGTATTAAAACCAAGAACTTTTTTTCATCAAAGGATATCAGACAGTGAAAAAACACTCTACACAATGGAAGATAATATTTGCAACACATATAACTAACAAAGTACTTGCATCTAGAATATACAAAAATCTCGCTCTCATACACACAAAACATATGATCGGGCAACAAACATTCCATAAACATACAAAAAGGTTCAACTTTATTAGCAATCAGGGAAATGTAAATTAAAACCACAATTAAATGTCACTATATTCTATCCATATGACACAAATTCGTAAGTTGGGTATTATCAAGTTTGCACACATGTGAAACAATGAAAAACAACATCTACTACTTGAGGGGAGTAAAAAAGACTGAACTACTTTGGAAAACAGTTTGGTTTTTCTAGGGTAAACTATTTCCATGCTTCAGGACTCAGAAATTCCAATTCTAATTAGATACTTCAGAGGAACTTTCTCACGGTTGTACCGGGAAAATGTTCATAGGAATATTATTTGTCAGAGTCAAAAAAAAAAAAACTGGAAACAAACAAAATGGACATCAAGAGTAAAACAGACAAAGATATTATGTTTCGTTCATAGATTGGAGCACCAATAGAGAAATGAAAATTAATGAAGTAGAGCCAAACATGAATGAACCTTAAAAAAAAGTTGAATGAAAGAAGCCATAGAGGAATACTCACATTATAATTTCACTTATATAAAGTTAAAAAAGAGGCAAACCTTATATTCACGGAAATACAAACACAGATGGTAAAAATGAGAGGAAAAACAAGGGAAAACTCTAGGTTCTGGAAAGGAAAGGTACTGCAATCAGGAAGGAGCATACAGGGAGCTTATTAATGTCTTATTTCTTAATCTGGGTGGGTAAGAGTACAAGCTCCTTCACATTCTAAGTTAAACTGAACCCTTATGTTGTATATATTCTTATTATGAATATTTCATAAACTCCTTTTTTTCCTGGAGTGATGAGAGAAATATGGGGATAGGGAAACAGGCATGCTCTGGCTCTTCTTTGGTTCTTTGCTACCAAGTGGAAATCATTCAGTAGCCTCTTAGCTCTTGGTGAACCCCACTTAGGATGATGCCACTAACATTCCACCACCTACCACTGCCACTACACCCACTGCCCCCACACACAGTGAATCGGAGAATTATGTGAGGGAAAAATTATTGGTTTTATTCTCAACGTTGGAGGGGAGGGAATAATGAAACTAAACATTTGTATATCACATTTGACAGTTCATAAAATACTATTATATACTCCTTTATTTTTATCCCCAAAACAAGCATCCTGAAGTAGACATAATATAAATCATAGGAATCAAATATTTTGCAATGCAAATAAAATGTTAGGAAGAGGTATCATCATGCCTTTCCATTACTCCATCTTAAATTCTTCATTTCTTATTGCAAGGTCAAAACAGATGATGACTGTGATATGATAAGAGCAAACAAAAAATAATGAAAAGAAATGAGAAAGGGAAAGAGTGGGTAGGTATAACTACTTTAGAAAACCTTTGTAGTATCTACTAAAGCTGAATATTTACCCAACTTATAATTAACCCAGCAATCCCACTTACAGGTATAAATACAATAAAAATGCATACATATGTTCACCAAAAGACACATACTAGAATACAGCAGCAAAACTGTTCATAATAAACAACAAAAAAGGAAACCTGTCCAAATATCTATTATAGAACAAATGAAATAAACTGTGCCATATTAACACAATGGAATACTCTACAGCAATGAGAATGATGCAGAAAATGGATGACTCATGAATATAATATTAAGCAAAAGAAGCCAGATATAAAACAAGTATATCCTATATTATTTCATTTCATTTCAAAGTTCAAATACAGACAAATTCATCTATATTTTCAGAAATCCATTGGCCACCATGAGAATGGGCAAGCAGAGGATTCTGTTCTGGTAATGTTTCATTTCTTGCTAGATGCTGGCTACACAGGTATTTTCAGTTTCTGAAAATTCATTAAGATAAATACTTATTAATTATACCCTTTTCTGTATGTATATTACACTTTGTTAAGAAGTTTTTGAAACAGGGTATAGAGACTTAAAGAGATACCGGCCAGGTGCGGTGGCTCACGCCTGTAATCCCAGCACTTTGGGAGGCCAAGGCGGGTGGATCACAAGGTCAGGAGATCGAGGTCATCCTGGCTAACATGGTGAAACCCCGTCTCTTCTAAAAGTACAAAAAATTAGCTGGGCGTGGTGGCGGGCGCCTGTAGTCCCAGCTACTCAGGAGGCTGAGGCAGAAGAATGGTGTGAGCCCAGGAGGCGGAGCTTGCAGTGAGCCGAGACTGCACCACTGCACTCCAGCCTGGGCGACAGAGCAAGACTCCAACTCAGAAAAAAAAAGAGAGAGACAAGATACCACAAAAAAACTATCTTTTTCATCATGTCCCCACGTTCTTCATGTCAGGGTCAAAATTCTTATTCAAAATTTCTAAATCAGGCAATAAACTATACAGAGGTATTAAGCTAAAATAATTAAAAAGCCCTGAGTTTAAAATGCACTCTACATTAATATGCAACTGGGTGATCTTGCAAAGCACAATTAAATTTCAGTCTTAGTTTTCTGACCATTAAAATGGAATTACTACTGTTGTCATTCTTATCCCATAATGATGTTGTGATGAGTAGAATGAGGTACACAAAAGAGATGCTTAAACTATAAAGTAATCTTAATTTGAGTAAAACCACAAATAAAAGATCAAAGGCCAAATATAATGGTTTACAATTTTTTAAAATTTTGTGTGCAGGGAGAACTTTTTTCAAGTGAACTCTTAAACAGTACTATTTAATAAAACAAAGATTCCTTTGCTTGGGTTTGGCTAAGGGGACACAGAATGATGGTAGAATTAGTGTTGTATGTTTCCTTCACACTCTCTTCTCCCTGCTGTCCCTCAAGGTATCTTCTAGAACACCACTGTGTGCAACAGGCCTTGGAGTCATATAGATTAGGGTTAAAAAAAAATCCTGGTTGTATCACTAATTAGTTTTCTGAGCCTCACCCTTTCCAGCTATGAGGGTGAAGCCAATATTACCTACTTTTCAGACTAGAGATAATGTATATCAGAGAACCTAGAAGAATGTCCAAATAAATTTAACGACTTTAGCCTAAAATTTGAATGGATGCAACAGCCTCCTAAATATTATGACTTAAGTCACTCCCTCTGCTATTCATTTTCTACATATCCCTTACAGTAATTTTTTTAAAAAAATAACAATTTGGCCAAGTCGCTTGTTTGGCTTACTACTACCAACAGAACAATGCCCCAGCTACCTTTATGGCACACAAGGTCCTTGACAACCTGCCCTAAATCTATCTATGTCTTCTGCCTCTTCTCTAGCATCCTACATTTTTTTTTTATTATTATTATACTTTAACTTCTGGGATACATGTGCAGAATGTGCAGGTTTGTTACACTGGTATACATGTGCCATAGCGGTTTGCTACACCCATTGACCTGTCATCTACGTTAGGTATTTCTCCTAATGCTATCCTCCCCCAGCCCCCTACCCCCCGACAGGCCCTGGTGTGTGATGTTCCCCTCCCTGTGTCCATGTGTTCTCACTGTTAAACTCCCACTTATGAGTAAGAACATGCAGTGTTTGGTTTTCTGTTCCAGTATTAGCTTGCTAAGAATGATGGTTTCCAGCTCTATCTATGTCCCTGCAAAGGACATGAACTCATCCTTTTTTGTGGCTGCACAGTATTCCATGGTGTATATATGCCACATTTTCTTTATCCAGTCTATCATTGATGGGCATGTGGGCTGGTTCCAAGTCTTTGCTATTGTGAACAGTGCTGCAATAAACATACGTGTGCATGTGTCTTTATAGTAAAATGATTTATAATCCTTTGGGTATATAACCAGTAATGGGATTGCGGGATCAAATGGTATTTCTGGTTCTAGATCCTTGAGGAATCGCTACACTGTCTTCCACAATGGTTGAACTAATTTACACTCCCACCAACAGTGTAAAAGTGTTCCTATTTCTCCACATCCTCTCCAGCACCTGTTGTCTCCTGACTTTTAATGATCGCCATTTTAACTGGCATGAGATGGTATCTCATTGTGGTTTTAATTTGCATTTCTTTAATGACCAGTGATGATGAGCTTTTTTTCATGTTTGTTGGCTGCATAATTGTCTTCTTTCGAGAAGTGTCTGTTCATATCCTTTGCCCACTTTTTGATGGGGTTGTTTTTTTTCTTGTAAATCTGTTTAAGTTCCTTGTAGATTCTGGATATTAGACCTTTGTCAGATGGACAGATTGCAAAAATTTTCTCCCATTCTCTAGGTTGCCTCTTCACTCTGATGGTAGTTTCTTTTGCTGTGCAGAAGTTCTTTAGTTTAATTAGATCCCATTTGTCAATTTTGGCTTTTGCTGCCATCGCTTTTGGTGTTTTAGTCGTGATGTCTTTGCCCATGTCTATGTCCTGAATGGTATTTCCTAGGTTTTCTTCTAGAGTTTTTAAGGTTTTAGGTCTTATAATTAAGTCTTTAATCCATCTCGAGTTAATTTTTGTATAAGGTGTAAGGAAGGGGTCCAGTTTCAGTTTTCTGCATATGGCTAGCCAGTTTTCCCAACACCATTTATTAAATAGGGAATCCTTTCCCCATTGCTTGTTTTTGTCAGGTTTGTCAAAGGTCAGATGGTTGTAAATGTGTGTAAATGTAAATGTGTGGCATTATTTCTGTTCTGTTCCATTGGTCTATATATCTGTTTTGGTACCAGCACCATGCTGTTTTGGTTACTGTAGCCTTGTAATATAGTTTGGAGTCAGGCAGTGTGAGCATACTACATTTTTAACATATCCAGTTAATTAACTGATCACTGGATAAGGCACATACCTTTTAAAAAACCTTTTCTTCCCCCCAGAAACAATAATTCGTGGAGAATTAGAAATGAGAAAAGAGATTTTTTAAAAAACACACAAAAAAGAAATTACATTCTTACCATCCAGGAATCATCACTAGTAACACCTTAGAGCATATCCCTCTGGAGAAATATACAGATGTAGATATAGATAGATAAATGATCATAATATACATACAGCCTTATAACCTACTTTTTTCAGTCAACAATCTCCCCTTTCCATTTTAGTAAATTTCCATCTCATCTAATATACAGCCTATGTTCAAATTTCCCCAACTAATCCAAGATGTCCTTTATAGCTGATCTGTCCAAATCAATATACAATTCAAAATTTCACACTGTATCTACTTGTCCTTTACATTTTTTTTAATGTAGCACCATCACCTTCCCCCACCATCTTTTTAGGACACTAAGAAGCCAAAGAGATCTCAACTTTTCTTACTGAATGTCCAACCTTCTGAATTTGTCTTGTTCTCATTATCACCCATTTTGCCAGAAAGAGAAAAACATACATTTATGACCCCTTAAGGTTAAAAATGTGGGAATGAATTGAAAGTCTGTGTAAGAAACTAACATTTGGCTAGGCGTGGTGGTTCACGCCTGTAATCCCAGCACTTTGGGAGGCCGAGGTGGGCAGATCACAAGGTCAGGAGATCGAGACCCTTGTGGCTAACATGGTGAAACCCTGTCTCTACTAAAAATATAAGAAATTAGCCGGGCGTGGTGGTGGGCGCCTGTAGTCCCAGCTACTAGGGAGGCTGAGGCAGGAGAATGGCGTGAACCCAGGAGGTGGAGTTTGCAGTGAGCCGAGATCGCGCCACTGCACTCCAGCCTGAGAGACAGCGAGACTTCGTCTCAAAAAAAAAAAAAAAAAAAAAAAAAAAAAAAAAAAAAAAACATTTTCCCAGTCTTCTACTTTATTCCCAGCATAAAATCAGGTTTCTTCTTTGGATAAATTACAACCACCTCTGAAGGAAAAAACCTTCACTCAGTAGATGCTGAGGGTCCACTGATATCCACACAATGCCATAAAGTAAAACCAGCCAGTTGACAGGCATGGCCATGTACAAAGTCCTGAATAAACAACAAAGAATCATTATAAATTTGAATAAATATTCCAGAAGAAAGAGAAATCAAAATAAGCATAAAAAACAAAATGACCATTTAAAAAGAGAAAGAATACAGGGAACCAAAGAATTCTCAATAAAATGAAACAAAACAAACAGAAACTCTCTACTTACCATAGTTCCTGAAAAAACAGTTGAATGATATGAATAAGGAATAGTACACACAAAAGTTCTTGGAAATTGAAAATATGATTGCCAAGATAAACAGTTAAATAAAAACAGACAGCTGGAATATCAAGTCGAGAAAATATACCAGGAAACATAACCAAACCCAAAGAAAAAGAAAAACGTATAACAAAAAATAAAAAGGTAAGGAGATTCAATTCAGAAATTCTAGTTTCTGATTACTAAAGATTCCAGAAAGATAACAGATAAAATAAAGGAAAGAGAATAATCACAGAAATAACAAGAACATTTCACACTACATTAATCTCCAAAGAGCCTACTAAATGCCAAAACATCAAGTGGAAACCAACCAACCAACTACAACAAAACTCAAGTCCAAGGACATTACTGTGAAACTGCAGAATGCTAGAAATAAAAGATTAAAAATATTCCAGAGATAAAAACAGGCAAAACACAATGTACAATGGATCAGAATGTAGTAGACTGTTCAACGGCTAAATAAGATCCTAGAAAAGCAATGCCCTCAAATTTCTAAGGGAAAACTCTCTTCTATTACAACGAAACTATTTCATACCAACCAAACTTATTAATATCAATCAAATGTGAGACCAGGATAAAGAGATTTTCAGTAATGAAGTAACTAAAACAGTGTGCCATTCATTAATCCTCTCTTAGGAAGTAAATTAAAGATATATTCCAGCAAAGTGAGAGAATAAACTAGGAAGAAAGAAGACATGCTATCGAAAGAATGGATCCAGTCCCAGATTATGGCAAAAGTAAGTCCCTGCATGACAGCTCTAGAGAAGCTTTGGACAGTAACCTGTTCAGATGAGAACAGGTTGACTGAGGTGGGGAGGGGGCCAGACATACTGTTTTTTTCATTAAGCCTTCGAATAGTGTATGAATTTTTTTGAAAACTATATATACGTATCACATTGTTTTTTTTAAATTCAGTCACATTAGAAACAAATTTAAAGAGGCAATGACATGAAATTTTGAACTCAGTCATCTTTTAACTTCTATTAGCATTTGGGAAACTTTAAAGATGACCTACAAAGATTTTGCAATTTTCTTCTCATAATTTTGCTGTCATCACATAAACAAAAAATAAAGTCAATTTTACCCGTGTGTAGTACCTAAGAGTTCAGAGGCCATAATGACAGAAAAGAACCATTAAGAGATTTACAACTTTACACAAAGAACCTCAAAAAACACTTTTTTATTTTTATGGTACCAATCATTGGTTACCAATTCACCTACTACTACCTGAATTATGCTACTTTTTTCATTATTAGAAGTGGCCTGGTCTTATTAGCTGCTATTTAGTCATGCTTCATGATTCAGGGCAAAACACCCAAACACAAAAGATGGTACGTGGTACAGCTAGTACAATGACTGGCTCACAGTGGATATTTGACATATTTTACCTATTTCCCACCATTCCCTACCACCTCTTCCCTTTGACACTAAAACTCCTAATCAAAAAATCATCTCCCCAGACCAGCCAACAGAAAAACACTATATACCAATGCCTATTTTCTAGTTACAGTTGAACTAGGCTGTAAGCTCAATGTCTGGATAATTCAATCATATAATTTATTTCTGCCTCAAGAGAAGTTAACAATCTCATATCCAAAAAGGATTCTCCACTCTTTTGTTCCTTAGCTCAAAAAAGTTTCTTTTCAAAACAGTAGTCAAATATCCACAAGAATGGAGAGAAGTAGTACAGAAGATCCCTGAGTAACAGAAAACAATTTACCTGACTTTAACAGAATATTTACATTAACCATCATTTCTAACACAGGAGCCAAATTTCACTTCAACTAGCCTTTCGTGTGCATATACTGCATGTTTTGTTTTGATGGCCACCAGGAATTCTAAGACAGAAAGCAAACTGAGCAGCAGAGAGAAGTCAGGCTGTTCTTTCTTAACTGTAGTTTTAAGCTAAAGTTGGCTATTCTACAAAGTACAAATACAGATTTAAAACCAAACGAAAGGTATCTATGACTTAAAATTAGTATTTTATTCCTTGATTTTCTGCTATACATCTGACCTTGTCTGTAAGTGCTAAAACAAAGTAAATACTACTGAATCAGATGCCAGGATCCAACATCAGGTTATCCTGTGGCTTTGGACAAGTGACATCACTGCTATGAGTCTAGATTTTCTCAAAAAAAAAAAAGAAAAGAAAAAAAAAAACAGGAGAAGATTAAACTTGAAGATCCCAAACAAAAACTGAATTATATGACTATCATTATGTAAAGCAAAAATTGTTGTTTCTTATTTGTCACTTAGCTGAAATCATAGTAGCAGCCCACTGAATACTGAATGCCTATGTTTCAGGCATTGGATTAGCCAATTTACAACTATTATTTCTAATTCTCTCAACAACCTTATAATGTAGGTATTATGAAAATGAAGAAACAGAAGCAGAGATTGGCTTACCAAATATCACACAACTCATAAATACCAGGGACTGTGTAATGAGACCCTCATGCAATATCCCACAGGTTTTTTCCACAAAACTTTCTACTATATACTATTTACAAGCATTATTCTACAGAAATCTAAAAAGACATGAGAAACCCAGTAAGTATTTTTTTAAAAAAAACTAAAGTCAATCCATTTTGCAATTCAAAATATCAGAGCTGGAAATGTTCATTATGTACTCACCTGATGCAGGAGACGTTTCAGTTTGAGTAACTGAGTTTTTACAGCAGTGCAATCCTGAACCATGTGCCGAAGGGTCATCTCATCCAGTATCACTGTATTTTCTGGTACATCAACAAACATCTTCTGAGCCTGGAAAAAGGGCATCCCTCCATAGCTTTCAAAATGACCCAAAGGAGATTCTCTATAGGGAGAGCCTCTGGAAGGGCAGGGAAGAAGGTGGAGGGAAAAGATATACAATACAATTTCAGAAAGAAATAAAGATAATGAAATTATTGCAGTGATTATTACAAATCACTTATCATTATCACCATGGCTCTGACTTCCACTCACCTCAGTCACTGATGTGTTTCCACAAAAGGCGCAATCAGCTGTAGTTTATTAAAACAATTATCTTCTGTATCCCCCATCTTTTGTGTATTTTACATACTGGAAGAATAAACCTTCTTTAGGCACCGGAATAGAAACAATACTCTGGAAAGACTTTATGTGAAAAAGTTAAACTTATTCTTCCTTTTCTGCACTGACTGTTGTTCATTAGTTTTTAACTTTGTTTAACTTCTTAAATTGCACACCTTTTTTAGCCCCATAACGATGCTACCAACATTAACTCTCAGTTTGTATACATCCTTGGACTCCCATTTCTTGAAAGTCTCAACAGGCAGTTAAGATGAATTTTTTGTTTTTATATTACTAATAAAGCATATTTTCCAATAAAGGTTACTTAAGCTTTTATAAAAGTTTTATATATACCGCATATTTCCTAATCTTACAGTGCATTAAAAAAATCTACTCTCGGTGAAACCTCATCCCTACTAAAAATACAAAAAATTACCCCAGCATGGTGGCACGTGCCTGTAATCCTAGTTACTTAGGAGGCTAATGCAGGAGAATCCCCTGAACCTGGGAGGCGGAGGTTGCAGTGAGCCAAGATCGCACCACTACACTCCAAGCTGGGCAACAGAGTGAGACTCCGTCTCAAAAAAAAAAAAAAAAAAAACTACTCTAAAATTTTTTACATTTCCCTTCAGTTTCATACAATAACATACATGCTGAATAAGGAAAAAAATAAAAGTAATGTGTTTCATGGGAGTAAAAAGCAAAATATTTTAACCAGAAGTCATAGTTATAGCAATTTAAAAATTGCTACCTTAATTCCAGTTGGTTCTTAAACTGTGAGGAGAACTTTTTTTTTTTGAGACAGAGTCTCGCTCAGTCATCCAGGCTGGAGCGCAATGGTACGATCTTGGCTCATTGTAACCTCTGCCTCCGGAGTTCAAGCGATTCTCCTGCCTCAACCTCCCGAGTAGCTGGGATTACAGGCACCCACCATCATGCCTAATTTTTGTATTTTTGTAGAGAGGGGGTTTCACCATGTTGGCCAGGCTGGTCTTGAACTTCTGACCTCAGGTGATCCACCCGCCTTGGCCTGCCAAAGTTCTGGGATTACAGGTGTGAGCCACCATGCCCGGCCGAGAACTTCTAATATATGTGAAATCGCCCTCGCTGTCTGTCTGTCTCTCTCTGTCTCTCTGTCTCTCTCTCTCTCTCTCTCTCTCTGTGTGTGTGTGTGTGTGTGTATTTGGTTGGCTAGTTAGTAAGTAGAGACGGGTTGCTCAGGCTGGTCTTCAACTTCTAGCAAAATTTCAAGAAATAAGACATTGAAAAAATATTATCTCCAATATAATGGCTATTTTAAAATCAAGATTAAAATTAAATTCATAATGCATTAAATGTGCAAAAATTCCAACGCATTAAATTTCAACCATATTGAAAACGTAGAAATATGGTTTCTACCAAATTTTCTAGCTTTTAACAAATATTCCCACATCTCTGAATTCTCAAATATTCAGTATGAGGTCGATTTTTACAAGATTATTTTTCTCTGAAACTACTTCTCATTAAGTACTTCAGGCCCAACTTTCTTTTAACCCAAGAAAAAGATTTTTAGAAATTTACAAACTGTTGATTTTATGATGCCACAGACAGCCTGAATCCTATTTATTCTTCATCTTCTTCCCTCAACACACCTGCCTCCCGCAGTGACTAGTGACTTCCTTTTTTTTTTTTTTTTTTGAGACGGAGTCTCGCTCTGTCCCCCAGGCTAGAGTGCAGTGGCGCGATCTCGGCTCACTGCAAGCTCCGCCTCGGGGATTCATGCCATTCCTCTGCCTCAGTCTCCCAAGTAGCTGGGACTACAGGTGCCCGCCAGCACGCCGGGCTAATTTTTTGTATTTTTAGTACAGACGGGGTTTTACCGTGTTAGCCAGGATGGTCTCGATTTCCTGACCTCGTGATCCGCCCGCCTCGGCCTCCCAAAGTGCTGGGATGACAGGCTTGAGACACCGCGCCCGGCATTTTTTTTTTTTTTTTTTTTTTTTTTTTGAGACGGAGTCTCGCTCTGTCGCCCAGGCTGGAGTGCAGTGGCGTGATCTCGGCTCACTGCAAGCTCCGCCTCCCGGGTTCACGCCATTCTCCTGCCTCAGCCTCCCGAGTAGCTGGGACTACAAGTAACGCCACCACACTCGGCTAATTTTTTGTATTTTTAGTAGAGACGGGGGTTTCACCATTCACAGGGTGGTCTCGATCTCCTGACCTCGTGATTCGCCCGCCTCGCCCTCCCAAAGTGGTGGGATTACAGGCGTCGGCCACGGCGCCGGGCCCAGAGTGACTTCTTAATTCATACCTAATTACCTGAGATTCCCAAAGCATCCTACAATCTCATCTCCAAACCCACAACCTCTGAGTAGTCTTTGTCAGTCTCTCCATTCTGCCCTCCACTGTGCACACTTGATCTAGATAATTCCTCTTCATCTTAAATCAGCTGACACTACTTCAGAGAACACTTCCTTAAATCCCCTAAGGCAGGACTTGGCACTTCCACAGGTGTTTTTATAGCGACCTGTACTGTGTCCCATTATAGTATTTATTACAGTATACTTTGTTTGCAATTCAGGCCAAATTACAAACTCTATGAAGGAATGAACTGTGTACTCTTTTCCTTTGCATCTGAGTTTTTGGTTTTTTTGGTTATTTATTTTTTTGTTGTTCTTGTTTTTTTTTTTTTTTTTTGCACTGAATGGGTAAGGAACATGTATTTTACCCACTAGAATTTTTTTTAAAAGCTTATATCTCCAAGATTCTAAAATTCTGTAGCTGTCACATGACAAAAGCACTGCTTTAGAACTATAATCTGAATAGCTAATAATCAAATTAAAAGGTACTTCTTATTTTGTCAAGTGAGAGAGCATTAGAAAGGGAATACACTGAAGGAGACTGGTCTGCAGGCTACGCCATGAGAATCAGGTATGGAATATGGACATATATTGACATAAATGTGATCCAAATGCATGGAACTAATAAATTTAAAATGTTTTAAGGAAGAGTCAACAAGTCTTGTTCACTAACTGAAACAAAGAACTGACATCTAGAAAAGCCACAATAGCCACCTCTCACCTCAGATTTAGGTTTAAATCCTATCTGACAGTAACTAGCTGTTGAAAATATTTATTATCTTTGGGCCATAGTTTCTTTAACTCTCAATGTTCTCTACTGCTCATTGAACAAAGTTTATATGCCTTAGGTTGCATTTCAAATACCTCCACCATGAGATTCAAAATTAACCCTGTATTTTCTCTTAGTACTGAAATGCTACTTTCTTCAGAAGCCCTTCCTGATCCCCTCAACTAGATAAAACTATCATTTTATGATCCTTAATTTGTTTCACAGCATAAAGAAACCTATATACTTTTCAACTCTAATTGGATTGTAAGCCCTTTGAAAACAGAGCCATATCTTATTAATTTTAATATTATCTGCATAGATGATCTGAGTCCAAATTCAGCTGCCACTTACTAGCCACACAACACACAGGGCAAGTTACCAAATCCCTCTATGCTTCATTTCCTAATCTATAAAATGGGCAAAATAACAATACTTGTCTCCTTAGGTTAGTATAAGACTTAAATGAGGTAATATATGTTAAAGTGCTTGGACTAATACATAATATATAGTAAATATTAAATAAAAATGACTTACTATAATATTATTAAGTTTCCAACCTCTTTATCTTGAAACATTTCTTGAAATAGAAGTATCAAAAGAATACTACAATGAACAACAATATACCCTTCACCTATATTTACCAACTGTTAAAATATTGACACATTTGCTTTGCATCTATGTATTTGTTGCTAAACCATCTGACAATAAATTAAAAGTGACATAAAATCCCACTGGGAGAAACACATGAAGTTTTCTGGGGAAAAAAATCAATATAACAGAGAAATCTAAGAGACAGAAAGAGGGAAAGATGGAACAGAAAGCAAATATATAACAGGGATTATTTTCAGAAAATAAAAGGAGACTATGAAGATAGGAGGGAGCGGGAACACGGGACAGAAAGATAATGAAGATTTTAATCTCAGAATTTGAGATTTCAGATTCTGAGAAGATGATGCAGTTTCCACATTAAAAAATAAATCTCAGAATGGGAGGTAAAATCACTTTCTAAGACTAAAGACACAAATCCAGGGGCAAATGTGTAAGAAGGGTAATAAAAAATAAGAGATGAAGGGGGAATTACTGGCCATAATCCCCCACATTAAGTTGATACATTTGTACCTCTGTATAAATTTTAACATTCATGAATTTCTAACAGAAACTCCGGTAGTGAAAGCAACATGAAGACTGCAAAGCTGCTGTGGCATGAACACACTAGAATGCTAGTAGCCATGTGTTAGTGAAGTGAGATCTTATGTGGCCGATCATAGCCCAGGCAGGCAGGTAAATATGAAGAAATGAACCATTAGAGATATGGGTGAAGGCAAAAATGAGTTCAGTGGTTTCAAAGGCATGAGAATGAAAGCCCACTGTCTCCAATATTATCTAACCTTGCTCTTTAAGTGCTGCCAATAAAATCAACAAGATAAAAAAAAAGATGCAAACTAGAGAAAAGAATCTTGAAGAGATAACCGTCTTTACCCACTTAAACTGAATTCACATACAGTAGCAGAACCTGATATTAAACCCACAAGCATACAAATCATTGTTGCATAATTATTTAATGCAGTTTTAAAGGAATTTCTCCAAATTCTATGGCTACACCCATATACTTACAAATAACTTTATTCTTCCCACTCCCAACAGAACTTCTTGATTACTAAGATGTGTGATTTCATGCTAATCTAAAAGTTTGTGATTTATAGGTTAGACTGGCAAGTGCAGATGTTTGTATATCTGTGTGTGTATACTTGTGTATGTGTGTGTGTGTGTGTATGTGTGTGGGGTGGGGAGATTTTTCTTCTTCATTTCTTATGTAACCTGAGTCACAGTTTTGATTTCATAAAATCATTAGTGTTTCATCACCATTAATAAAAACTTTATACTAAAAGTTAAATGTACGTATTTTTATGTTTGTGGTAACATTTTAAGACAATCCCAATCAAAATTTCAGCAAGTTATTTTGAGGATATCGGCAAGGTGATTCTAAATTCTTTATTAGAACAGGCAAAAGACCCAAAATATCCGAAACAATATTGAAGAAGAAGAAAGTCGAAGGCCTAACACTACTCAACTTCAAGACTTACTATACAAAGCTACAGTCATCAAAATGGCATGTGTGGTATTGGCAAAAGAACCGACATATCAACTGAATACAATAGAGAGCTCAGAAATAGACCCACATATACACAGTCAATTGATCTTCGACAAAGGAGCAAAGGCAATTCAAAACAGAGTATAAAAGATAGTCTTTTCAACAAATGAGACTAGAAATGGACATCTACAAACAAAAAGAATGACTTTAAATCTTTCACAAAAATTAAGTCAAAATGGATCAAAGGCCTAAATGCAAAATGCGAAACTATAAAATTCCTATAATATGAAAAGGGAGAAAATCCAGGTGACCTTGGATTTGGCAATGAGTTTTTTGGATATAACATGAAAAGTGCAACCCAAGAAAGAAAAAATGGATGTTGAAAATGTTAAAAATTTTTGAAAATCTGTCCTGCAAAAAGTACTATCAAGAGAATAAGCCACCGACTGGAAAAAATTATTTGCAAAACATATATCTGATAAAGGATTGGTATCTAAAATATACAAAGAACTCTTAAAACTCAACAAGAGAATAAACAACCCAATTTTAAAATGGGCAAATAGCTAGAGGCCATTATTCTAAGCGAATTAACGCTGGAAGAGAAAACCAAATACCACATGTTCTCACTTATAAGTGGGAGCTAAACATTGTACTCACAGACATAACAATGGTAACACAGACGCTGGGGACTACTAGACAGGGGAGGGAAAGAGGAGCAAGGGCTGAAAAATTGTTGGGTACTATGCTCACTACCTGGGTGATGGGATCATCTGTATCCCAAACCTCAGTATCACATAATATATCCATGTATATGTGATACAAACCTGCGTATGTACCCACTGAATCTAAAGTAAAAGTTGAAATTATAAAAAATAAAATAAAAATAAGCAAAGATCTGAACAGACACATCACCAAAGAAGATATACAGATGGCAAATAAGCATGTGAGAAAATGTTCAACATCATTTATCATTAGGGAACTGCAAATTAAAACAACATTGAAATACCACTACATACCTAATAGTTAATGTCCAAAGCATAGTACCAAATGCTGATGAGGATATGGAGCAGCAACAGAAGTTCTCATTCATTGCTGGTGGAAACGCAAAAGGGTAAAGCAACTTTGGAAGACAGTTTGGCAGTTTCCTACCAAATTAAACATATGCTTCCCATATGACCCAGCAATAGTGCTCCTTGATATTTACCAAAATGAGGTGAAAAATGTACGCCCGTGCAAAAATCTGTATATAAATGTTTACAGCAGTTTTATTAATAATTGTTAAAACTTGGAAGCAACCAAGATGTTTTTCAGTAAGTAAATGAATAAACAAACTGTAGTACAGCCATACAACAAAATATTATTCAGTAATTTTTTTTGAGACAGGGTCTCTCTCTGTTGTCCAGGCTGGAGAGTGGGGTGATCTCGGCTCACTGCAGCCTCAACCTCCTGGGCTCAAGTGATCCCCCCACCTCAGCCTCCCAAGTAGATGGGACTATAGACACGTGCCACCACGCCCAGCTAATTTTTTTGATTTTTTTGTCAAAACGAGGACTCAATATGTGCCCAGGCTGTTCCTGAACTCCTGAACTCAAGCTATCCTCCTGCCTTGGCCTCTCAAAGTGCTGAGACTGCAGGCATGAGCCACTGCACCTGGCTAATTTTTTTTTTTAAATGAGATGCCACAAAAATATATAGAGGAACCTTACATGTATTTTGGTAAGTGAAAGAAGCCAATCTGAAAAGACTATCTACTATCTGATTATAGCTCTCTGGCATTCTGGAAAAGGCAAAACTGTAGAAACAGCAAAAAGATCAGTATTTACCAGGAGTTCAGGAAAAGAAGGGAGGGATGAATAAGTGGAACACACAGAATTTGAAGGGTAGTGAAACTATTCTGTATGATACTGTAATGGTATGGCATTATACATTTGTCAAGGCCCATAGGATATACAAAACAGAGTGAACCCTAATATAAACTATGAATTTTAGTTAATAATAAAATATCAATATTGACTCATCAATTATAATACAATCATGCAAGATGTTAATCATAGGAGAAACTGTATCTAATGGAAGGTGAGAAAGCATATGAGAACTCTATTTTTGCTCAATTTTTCTGTAAACCCAAAGCTGCTCTAAAAAATAAAATCTATTAGTTAAAAGGAAAGAAAGAAAAATAAAGCATGACAAATGAAGAGAAACACTGCCAGAATAACAGAGATTTCTAAAACTCCATTCCTCCATTAAAGCACTAAGAACACTGGCAAATTTGTCAAAATCAACTTTTTCAGAACTCTAGAAATCAGCCAAATGCTTGCAACAACTAAGGAGCATTTAATCAATAAAAACTGCTGAATCTCAAAGAAACAGCAAGCTCTGTGGCATTTTAATTTATCCAATAGCCACACCCATCTCCTTACCTTTGTGGTAGCTTGAGAACCAAAAGCATTACAACAAGCATGGCAGCTATGAAATCCAGCAGTCACTAGAGATTGGGGGACAAAATGGGTTTAGAACTCTCCAAAAAGCACCACTCCCAAAGAACTGCTATGATTTGATCTCCCTGGCCGCTCCCTAGAAAAAGCCCATTCTCAGGAGTTGGTTTGAGCTGATTCAAAGCTTGTTCGGTAATTCCCTTATCCCTAGTGCACTGCTTAAAATCTCAGCTGCCTGAAATGGCAATATCAATTGGGACAAACAAGAAGCTGACCAAAAATCATAAAAGGAAAACCTGAGGAAAGAAATGTCCACAAGAGGCTTTGAAATGCTCCAATATAGTCTTGGGAATAGAGAAGAACATATACATGTATAGGCTGTGTATGTACATGCCAAGGAAATACCAGAGAATCCCCTAATCTTCCACCTTTGGCTGACTTTGAAACTCTAAACAAGCAGGAAGTGAAGGCCAAGGCAGAGCTGCAAACTACTTACAGGACTGCAGGTGTGCCTAAGCTGCAAACTACTTACAGGGACTGCAGGTGTGCCTAAGCAAACACACAGAGCCCCCTGGTGGAGGCTGGGAGACTTACTAGTTCAAGGCATTCAATGAAATCTCCATCCAACCATTAGCTGACCACTAATCAAACCAAGCAAAGACGTCAAATATTTTTTTAAAATACAGACTTTTTACAGAATCTGTCTAGAAAAGTCAGTAAACAACCACAAAAAAACACAACAACAAATCCTGGCCAGGGAGAAATCTGATTTAAGTAGTTTTCACATTATTTGTATTTTTTTTTTTTCAAATTTTTTGTGACAAGCAAGGAATGATGCTCATACATTCCCGTAGTTAAGTGGCCAGAGCGAAGTGGGGAGGGGCAGAAAGAACGTAACTAATGACCAAACATGTCCCAAATTTGATGAAAAACATTAATCTGTATATCTAGGAGGCTCAACAAACTACAGATATGATAAACTAAAAGAGAGGCGCATTATAATTTAACTGTTGAAAGCCAAAGAAAAAGTGAAAATCCTTAATGCAGAAAAAAAGCTGGGGGGGGTGGTGGTGGCAGGGCGGGGGGACTCATCATGTGGAAGACACGCTCAGTAACATTAACAGCCGATTTCTCATCAGAAAGCATGGGAGTTGAAATATTACAAGGAACACTGCCAACCAAGAAGTCTACATCTGGCAAAACTATCCTTCAAAATAAAAGAGAAATTAAGACATTCCCAGATAAACAAAAACAGAGAATTTATTGCTAACACACCTTCCCTACAATATATAGTGAAGTTGGAGACTTGAACACCTCACTTTCAATAATGGACAGAACAATTAGAGATATATGAGAAGCAGAAGATTTAAGCAACATTATAAACCAACAAGACCAAAAAGACATCTACAGAATATCTATAAAAATTAAATTAGCAATCCAAAAAACTGCCACAAAGAAAAGCCCAGGCCCAAATAACTCCACTGGTCAATACTACAAAACATTCAAAGAAGAATTCACAAAAATCCTTCACAAACTCTTCCCAAAAGTAGAAGTGAAAGGAATACTTCCCAATTCAATCTGTGTGGTCCTGATATCAAAACAAGACAAGGATATCTCAAGAAGAAAAACAAAACAAAACTACAGACCAGTATTTCTTAAGTGTGTATATATATATATATATATATATATATATACACATACACACACAAAAAAAATCTTCAACAAAATACTAGCAAACTGAATCACACAACATACCAACACAACACGCAACATACCAAAGTATTACTCCACATTAGTAGAATGAAAGCGGAAAAAAAAGATTATCTCCATAGACACAGAAAAAGTAATTGACAAAATCCAACACCCTTTCATGATAAAAACACTCAACTATCCATGAATGGAAGGGAACTTCAAACTGATAGAAAGTATCTTTTAAAATCCACAGCTAACATCACATTAACAATAAAATATTTAAAATATTTATTTTCCCCCCATATCAGAAACAAGACACACCTATTGGCTTTCACCACTTCTACTCAACAGAGGTTGTAGCCATAGCAATTATGCAAAAGATAAAAAGACATTTTTATCCAAAATGGAAAGGAAAAGGTAAAAACTATTTGCAGATAACATATCTTGTATATAGAAAATCCCACAGCTGGGGTGCCCAAGCCCCTAACCAGGGACCAGTACCAGTCTGTGGTCTGTTAGGAGCCAGGCCACACAGCAGGAGGTAAGCAGAGGGCATGCATGTAAGCATTCCTGCTTATCTGACAGGAGCTCCACCTCCTGTCGTATCAGCGGCAGCATTAGATTCTCATAGGAGCACGAACCCTATCGTGAGCTGCGCATGCAAGGGATCTAGGTTGAACACCCCTTATGAGAATCTAACTAATGCCTGATGATTTGAGGTGGAAGAGTTTCATCCCAATCCCAAAACCATCCCCCAACCTCCCACCCATGGCCTGTGGAAAATTTGTCTTCCAGGAGACTGGTCCTTGGTGCCAAAAAGGTTGGAGACCACTGTCCTACAGGACTAAGCAAACAGAGGGTTAAATGACTCATGTACATGAACACTGCAGCCACTCAGGACTGCAGCAAAGCTTATAATAAAGAGGGAAAGTGGGCTAAGGGCCAAGCCTTTTGTAAGCTCCAGGTAGGAACCAGTAAAGAAGAGTTGATACAGCCAAATGCCCTAAGTCTCAAAAAATGGGACTTACAATCACTTCCTTTAGAAGTGACAATGAGAAATGAGGACAAAAACCCCATCTCTAAACAGTGAAGTATTAGGGTGACTGGAAAATAAGAATCTTTGGTGTAAAAATGTTACTGGGGAAGTAGTATATTTGGGAAAGAGCTAGGTTTCAGTTATGATTAGGAGAATGTAGGTGAAGAGATGAAGAATGTGAGTTTGCTAGGATATGAGAGAATTCCAGATAGCATATCAAAAGGTGTAGAAAAAAAGGAGGTCTGGGCAGAAAAGAAGAGAGGAAGATTAGGCCAGGTAAAAAGACAGAGCAGTATTACGATGAGAACATGAGTGGATGTATTAGTTCTCAACCACCAGTCTTCCCAACACCCCTGAGTTACGGATAAGGCATGATCCTATAACTAATGACAATAATAACGGGAGTTAAGGGACAGAAGAAAGCGAAGCAATACTCAGGAAGTTTTAGAATGGAAACAGGACTTTTGCACATGCAATATTGAAAAGGCCCTGGGGCTAGTATACCCAAACCTTTCTAATATTAAGGCACAGAGAGAAATTAATAGTTTTAAGGTATGCTGGGGTAAGGCTCGTCTTAGAGGAGGTTTCTTTTTGTACCACCCATTCCATAACTTGCTGAGGTGGATGTAGGTGTCTCAAAACCAGCACCAACACCCCAAAGATTGAGAGTTTCAATAAACGGATCAATCTATAACCATTCACAACAAACCAGTGTACCTCAGCCCAATTGTTGGGAAGTTCTGTGCTAAGTCAGTCAAATTAGCAACCCCTAAGAATGCTGTGCATTTTTCCCTCCTCAGTAAGAATCACTCATGTGGATGATCCACACCATAGTCCCTTAAAATACACTAAGTAGAAGGGATTTGTGATCATATGTTTTGGAAAATGGCTACATATTATATTTTTTACCACCTTTTGCAAAATCACAGTACTATATTTATACACAAAAGCACAATTGAGTCCACCATTTAAAAAATGTTTATGATCTATTCATTCTCATACTAATTTGACCAGGGACCCTCTCTTTTCTTACAACTGCTGACATCCAAGGAACACAGTTGTTTGAAAATGTTGCTTAACTTTTCTGACAAATTAATTCAGGAAAAAAACACATCCTTTATCTTATGCGTACTGTATATGTTGTAATAAATCAAATTTTATTCTTTGCTTTTGCTGCAAAGAATCTTAGAATCAATTTTTTCCCTCACTTTAGGAACTACACAACACCATGTTTTTCTTCCATTATTTCTTTAAACCAATTGTACTATTTGTATTGTAAATGCACTCCAAAATGACCTGAAATCCCTGTGGAATGAGATAAGAAAGTGAAAAGGAAAAACTAATAACTTCCACAGAGTGCCTACTGTAAACTAGACACTACTCTAGGCACTTTTATCCCTGATTCTCAAACACTGAGATAAAGATATTATTAATTATGTTTTAAAGATAGTAAAGTGAAGCAGAGACGGTTTAAATAAATTATCTAAGCTTGCAAAGCTAATCTGCGCCAGGTCAGGTTTTGATTCCAGGTTTGAATGACTACGGAGCCTCATTACAAAATAAGATCTGACCAATTTAAAGACTATCCTCTACTTTGAAAAAGAAAAGACTAAATAGTACCTTCAGCACTAAACAGTACCTTCTTCTGTTTTTAATGGTACTTGTGGAATTTTTAAATTTTAACTTATTACATGAGCAAAAGACCAATCACTTGGCACTAATTTTAAATATTATTTGGAAAAACTAAGAAATTTAACACAGTTAACATTTAATCATTTCCAAATGACAGCTAGAAAATCATACCATAACTTGAAGTCCAAAAAGCAGATATAAATAGAGTATTTATATTTAAGATAAAACTAATGAAAAAATATTTGGGCCAAAAAGAACAAATTAGACATATTATTCCAATTAGTACCACATAAAACTTGAAGTGCTTTTTGGTGCCTCTAAAAACAAACCAGACAAAAACAGGTTTTTTGAGGGTTCTGGGAAAGGGAGAATTATAATTCAAAATCAGAGGACAGCAAATGAAATCTAAGTCAGAACAGTACTTACCTGCTCAAGTCACTTTTTCCATGGTGATGATAGTGGTCAGGGTGGCTGAGGTGGTAATGCTCCTGTCCACTCCACCTCTGGGGTGGCCTTTTCCAAAAACCTTCCTGAGGCTGCCGAACATTTCTGTCTGGTCGGTCAAAGCGGTTCATATTGTCACACTCCACTAGACAGATTCAAAAGCAAAAGACTATAAACATGTACATACTCCATAAAAGTTGACTCTTATAGCTTGATAATTAAATGCTGTAAATCAAATAAAAATAATAGTTTAAAAATATCAGCCATTTATGTTAATCACAATATCAAGATTTCTAAAAGCATAACCAGTTCTTCTGGTGAAAACTGAACTTAATATTATTCAAAATGAAGTAAATTATAATACTTTTACATTACAGTCATGTAAACAATTAACTGCCACACTGTTTTAAAACAGGCAAATTAACCTTGAAATCAACATTATACATTTTAAACACTCATAATCAGTTTTAGGTGGTTTTCATCACTGTCACAAGTTGGCTCTGATTTCAGAATGAAAATGACAGGAAACAGCAGATTTTTAAGAGAACTCATTCCTATAAAGGACTGCTACAATTAATTTTCACTGATCTCAAGAAGCACAAATTAACTTTTCATCACAAACAAATCACACTTTTAAAATTAAGCTCACATTTTCGGAAAGTAAGACGCTTCAATCTGCCTGCAGTAAGAGCTTGTTCAAAAAGTCTAAAATGCCACTGAAAACAAAGCCAGTAGTTTGCAGCAACAAACAGTACACTCCCTTAAACCCAAATACCACAAAAACACGAAAAGAATCTCTTTGAAACACCCCAAGCTTCTTCACTTACCCAAATACTTTTTCCTCACATATCTGAGCACTCACTAAGAGAGTTACTTTGCACAAGGGAGACATTGTGTTACCGGCTGCCTACTCAGACATAGTTGTACCCAAGGCACTGCTGAACAGGCCTTCCTTCCTGCTCAAAACCCAGCCCTCCCTGTGGGAAGCAAGCCCAGTTTGCCCTGTGACTCCATCTTCACTCAGTGCTTACATAGCTACTGACTTAGGACGGTTACTAAAAATACTGCTAAACACTAACCCAAGCCACAAAACAGGAAAGGTTTCTCTAGTCTGAGAACTACTACATGAGAAAGTTCAAGTCCTGCATGTTCAGAATTCCTTGTAATAAAAAGCTATAAAAATCAACATAATCCCCATTAAAAAAAAAAACCTCGCTTATTTAAATTACTGTTTCACTGAACCAAAAACCTGAATTTGAAACATGACGAGTGTTTCATTACAGTATACCAGATAAAAACAAACTTTGGCATTCCAAAAAAGGATATTGTAGTTTTAAAAGTATAGATGTTCAGTTCTCATATATACTGAATTCATTTTAATGTATTTCCTCTAAATGTATAACAATTTAAAACATTTTTAAAAGGACACTGAAATTTTGTTTATATTCATTATAGTCACCTTGAGGAAGAAGAAATATACATTTAATAATGTGAAAAAAGAATTTTTGTTCATGTTTTAAAAGAAGCCTTACATTTGAACTTATTTCAATTTGTTGTCATCTTACAGGAATAAACCAAGTTTTTTTTTTTTTTTAAGTTCAGTTATAGAAAACTTCACAAATAAAGGCATGGTGACCATTATGTCCAAAAATGTCAGAAGTAGAAAATAAGATAGCAAAAGAAAATTTAAAGTAATCATCTCGAGAAGGTTTTTCTTTTTGTTTGAGACAGGTTCTCAATCTGTCACCCAGGATAGAGTATAGTGGTGCAATCATAGCTCACTGTAACCCCAAACCCCTTAGCTCAAGTGATCCTTCCACCTCAACCTCCACAGCAGCTAGGACTACAGGCACAAGCCGCCATGGAGAGTCTTTTTTTTTTTTTTTTTTTTTTAAGAGATGGGGACTTGCTATGCTGGCCAGGCTGGTCTCAAAATCCTGGCCTCAAGGGATTCTTCCACCTCAGCTTCCCAAAGTGCTGGGCTTACAGGCATGAATCACCATGCCCAGGCTTCAAGATTTAAAATTGCTTTTAGCTTAGTGCCTTTAGCAACATCATATATAAATTCATATTTGTATTATATTCATAGATTCAGTTAAGACCCAGTTAAGTATTTCTACATGGTATTAAAATGTTTCTTTAGTTTAAGTAACTCTATATAACGAAGGGATAATCTACATTTAACTGTTCTGAATTCATATTTTTCCTCAATTCAGGAAAGAGAAATTCCACTCACTCCCAAAGCAAGAAATATTGTCCAAAAAACCACTTGATAGGTTATTTGAATGATATCCACACAGTAGTCCACACAGAGGAAGAAGCAAGCAAATCGGGCGAATAGGCCAGGAGATGGGTTAAATATTGTGAGCAATTACAATGTAGAAACTGATGTGGTGCTTTTGTATTTGCTAAAAGTTATGGGCTCCACATATAGACTCCAAATTGAGGAATCTTTATTGAAACTTGAACTCAAACATGGACATAATGGTAAGTAAGCATTAGAAGCAAACATTTGCCATAACCACAAAAGACTAATGTTCAAACTTAGACAAGGTGGGCTTAAACTCTAGAGAAATGACTGCTCCAAGATTCTGCAGGAAGTATCATGTTTAACTTCTCAAGGCATCCATCAATCACGTGTTTATATATTTTTAAACGCTGTTAAGAAGATAATGTGGAATAACACTGCTGATGGTTTCTTAGAAAAGATTAAAGGTTCCCTGACAAAATAACTGAAACAATAGAGAAGAAATGAGAAAGCAAACAAAATTACAAGACAGAGACAAATTCGGTTTCCAGAGACAATTTTTTTTTTTTTTTTGAGATGAAGTCTAGCTCTGTTGCCTAGGCTGGAGTGCAGTGGCATGATCTTGCCTCACTGCAGCCTCCGCCTCCCAGGTTCAAGCTATTCTCCTGCCTCAGCCTCCCGAGTAACTGAGATTACATGCACACATCACCACGCCTGGCTAATTTTTTCTGTTTTTAGTAGAGAAGGGGTTTCACCATGTTGGCCAGGCTGGTCTTGAACCCCTGACCTCAAGTGATCCACATGCCTTGGCCTCCCAAGTGCTGGAATTACATGCGTGAGCCACCGCCCCTGACCCAGAGACTGATAAATTTAAATTTAAAACAGGACAGATAAGATTAAGAAAGAAAAGTCCCTCTGAATGTGTGTAATACCATAAGGAATGATGGTGGCTTGTGGCAAACTAAAGAAAAAAACTGGTGAACTTCAAGGTATCCCAGTTCAAAAACCCAATGTGCTGATCACAACCAGATGCAGATGCAGGTGAGACTGGGCCCTAACTATGAGTTGAGAACCCCAGCTAGAGAAAAATATAGGCCTTCTGAAGGAAGTCTTTAGCATGAGATAAGAAATAAAGAAGAAAAAAGTGTGATTAGCAAAGTATTCTGAGGGGGAAGTCAAGCACCAAATTTTCTGTTTTACCCTTAAGCTCAAAAATAAATTTCTCTAAATATTAAAGGACAACCTTACAAATGTTTTATTGATACAGGCACTAAAATATCAACCTTAGACCCCGCAAGTGTTAGCTTACACTCAGGGTCACCAAAACACTCAGGTGTGGACTTCTCTGTTGGGGATCAGAACATGATACTACAAAGTGTGGCACTTTGGCAAGATGAGTACTTTGAACTGAGGGAAACTGGAAATGCCTCAGAGGCAAGGTCTTTCAGATCTACCTATCCTCCTGTTTCCTGCCCTTCTTCCTTCTGCAAAGTGAGTTACAGAAACCAGAATTCCTCTCCCCAAGGCAGGTCATAGAAACTAAAAATC
Source organism: Homo sapiens (assembly GCF_000001405.40). Classification (NCBI taxonomy): domain Eukaryota; kingdom Metazoa; phylum Chordata; class Mammalia; order Primates; family Hominidae; genus Homo; species Homo sapiens. The sequence goes on along the minus strand of NC_000010.11, from coordinate 84,422,079 downwards.
CTCTCCCTCAAAGGAAGCCCTAAAACCTAGAAAGGTCACTCACTCTCTTTTCCTTTCTTCCTTGAAGACTCTCATTCCAGAGGGGTTCTGCACCATACCTGGGAGGCAGGAATACTACAGAGAATCTGAACAGACAGGCCTTGCTGGGTCACCCTCCCCGCCCTCCATCTATCACCATTAGATCATAACCTTTTGTCCAATCACATTTCTATATAGCTGTCCATTCTTTACCAAGCCTAAGCATAAAATCAGGGTTTTCCCTAGGTCTTTGGGTCTTCATTTCTGAAGAATCCCGTGTCATGTACCATTTTGATTAAATAAATGTGTTCCACTTTTTTTGTTAACCTGTCTTTTGTTATAGGTGTGTCAGTCATGACCCTTAAGATGGTTGAGAAAAAGTATCATACTTTTCTGCCCCTACATTCTCTGACATGGTTTGGCTCTGTGTCCCTACCCAAATCTCACCTTAAATTGCAATAATCCCCATGTGTAAAGGGCAGGACCAGGTGGAGATAATTGAATCATGGGGGCAGTTTCCTCCATGATGTTCTGGTGATAGTGAGTTCTCATGAGATCTGATCATTTTATAAGGGGATTTTCCCCCTTTGCTCAGCACTTCTCTCTCCTGCTGCCATGTGAAGAAGGACATGTTTGCTCCCCCTTCCAGCATGACTGCAAGTTTCCTGAGGCCTCCCCAACCATGCAGAACTGTAAGTCAACTAAACCTCTTTCCTGTATAAATTACCCAGTCTCAGGCAGTTCTTTATAGCAGCGTGAGAATGGATTAATACAATCTCCAAAAACTTTCCTCCAATAACAGTCTCCAAATCCTAACTCACGAAAGTCCAGAAAACATTTGACCAACATTCTCTCCTTATTTTTGCTACTACATATGCCACATTTAATAGGGAAAGATTAACTGCACAAATGCATTCACCAGAAAAATACTCTCCTCATGGCTTCTTCCATGAAATGATAATCTGACAATTGTCATTCATAATGAGGTCACAGCAAACTTGTATCCAAATTAAAGATTTCAGTGAGGTGCCACTCTTCTGTGGGCCAAAACTCCACTGATACTGGGAGAATTAGTGGCAATTCATTATAGTTCATAGTGACCAATCTAAACCTTTTTTTTTTTTTTTTTGAGATGGAGTCTCGCTCTGTCGCCCAGGCTGGAGTGCAGTAGCGTGATCTCGGCTCATTGCAATCTCTGCCTCCCGGGTTTAAGCGATTCTCCTGCCTCAGTCTCCCAAGTAACTGAGACTACAGGCACGTGCCTCCACGCCCGGCTAATTTTTTGTGTTTTTAGTAGAGACAGGGTTTCACCATGTTAGCCAGGATGGTCTCAATCTCCTGACCTTGTGTTCTGCCCACCTTGGCCTCCCAAAGCGCTGGGATTACAGGCATGAGCCACCATGCCTGGCCCCCATCTAAATCTTTATCAAACCTGCATAATATCATCAACAACCAGAAGCTATAAAGGACTAAAACCTGTAGTGGAAAGCACATTATTAGACTCCCTAAATCTCTATCAGTCCCTGTAACATTCTCATCCTCCCAGCCAAAAAACTGTAATGGGTGTGTATAATTGTTCGGGACTTAAGAGCCATAAAAAGAAAAATTTCCCACTTTCCTATAGTACCAAACCTAGATACTATTTTATCTTTGGTGCCTCAGGAGGCTACATATTTTAGATCCATGTTCTTACATGCTTTCTTTAATGTTCCTTTACTCAAAATAGCCAATAGTTGTTTGCCTTCTTCTAGAAAAATCTAAAGTACTGTTTATGTGGGATGTTCCCAAGAGTTCCCTCCTACTTTTCACAAGTCCCCAATCAAGACCTCAAAGACTAAATTTCCCTGTGATTCTACTTTTATCTAATATTTGGGTAACTTTCTGTTGTCTGCTAAAGATAAGGCAGGCTCTAAGATCCTTTCTTTCTACTTCCACTCAGAAAGGGCATAAAGTTTCCAAGAGAAGTTGTTACAATTCTGTCAAAGTAAAATGCATTACCTAGCATGTGATTTATTCCGAGGAAGTAAATCCCTCACTCCTCACTACCAGCCCTAAAAATTACCATTAAATTTCCCAGATCATCAAGTCTCATTATTCTTCCCCTATAACTTTCCAATGGTTTATGTTTTTCCTCTGTGTTCTACAATATTTTTCTACTTGATCTTTCAAGTCACTAATTCAGATTCAATAGCAGTGATGCTTTCTGTCATTTACTGAATAAACTGTTCTGTTGGGAAGTCTTGTCTTTTAACTCCAGAAAGAATTGTGCTGCAATTCAATCTAAGTGATTATCTCCTTTGACTACTCTAATCCTCAGGGTTCTGTCATTTTCCTTGTTCTTCCTCAGTGTTGCCTGTGATTTTTTTCTTTTTCAGCACTAGAACTCAGCTGTTTGCCAGAGCATACTAAGCGACAGCAGAACCACAAAAAGGTGTAACATTCTCTGTCTCTGTGAGACAGTGGTGGATATTGTCCTCAACTTTTCATTCTCTCCTTACAGAATTATACATGCAATGTCCTCTATCATGTGCAGAGCCTTCATTATGAAGAGTACACTTCCCAGTCTCAAAGGTGTTAGGTTTGGCCATGTTACCTGCTTTGGCCAAAAGAATGTGCTTAGAAATAAGTGTCCTCTGTGAATGAAGATAGTTGTCAGGTTAGCTCCAGGGGTGTGGGTGTTTTTCTTTATTTTATTTTTTTTTTTTTGAGAAGGGAGCTGGTTTTATTTTAATTTTATGGGCTCCTTTCTCCCGTTTTTTGGTGATCTAACTGCATTGGTTAAAAGCAGCTAAGCAGTTCTTTAGAATACGCTCTCTAACCAAATCTAACTTTATTTAGACAATGTAGATGGACAAGCTTGACTGTTTGAACTAAAATGGGAACATTAAACAAATATCACAGCCCTCACTAACAACATTGTGACTTTGCTGTCAAGTGTAGATTCCCCTCTTCAAAAAATCTTGTGACCATTTCGTATGGCTTATCTGGAAACTTCTGTAAATCTTACGTTTTAGTAAAATATTTTTTGTTATTCTAAAAAAAAAATGTGCTAGTTCTTAGCTAAGACTTTAAGAGACATAATATGCATGTTTCTGCTCATCCTGTTGCATTTCTGCTGTCGTGAGAACAACCTGCCCCACAGTGGTCCTGGTCTCAAAATGAAGAAACATGGAACAGACCTCAAGCTAGTCCCATAGCCTGAGCTTCCCAGCTAATCCTTAGATCCATGAATGAGAAAAATACACGTTTATTTTGAAAGCAACTGAGATTTTGAGAATGCCATACAGCATTCTGGCAGGAAAAATAAAAGCCTCACCAGTATGACAAATATAAGCTTGTAGTAAAGCAGCAAAGCAGGCTACTAACACCCCAGTGAAGCACTGGAACAGACACCTCCCCTCTCTGAAATATTCCTTGCATTTTTCTAGCACCATGGATAAAAGGATCCCACTCACCATTTTCACTTTATTTCCAGCCCATGGAGGCCTGTGAGACCAGGCAAATGTTGATTGACAGGAAATTCTCAGATTTCTAAGGGCAGCCCTCTCCCCAGGAGTATCCCCATTTCAACCTTTGCCTCCAGGGCTTTTTTATGCTGGTTTCTGGTTCTCCAACAGTCTTTAAGATAAAAAAAATCCTACAAGTGCTATGTCACTGGAGTGAAAAGAACCTAAGGCCCCTCTCCCATATGGATTACCTAAAGCCTCACCCCAGCAGTTACTTGGCTCTAGAGAGAAAGATAGACTAGAATTGGGAGTAAAATGTACAGAATGATCCATTCAGAAGGTCATCACATTCCCAGAATTAATCTCTATAAAATATTTATCAAATTAAGATATTATAGTGTTTCACAAGTAAGATGGTATGTTTCTGTAAATACATTTCTTCCTAAAATCAAAATGAGATAAAGGGAGGAAAAACTGGGTACATACACAGAAAAAAAGACAACTCTTATCTGCAACTTACTTTATGGTATACAATGTTATTGGATGATAGAGAATTATATCTAAGACTTACAAAATCAGGTTTTAAATATTTAAGTTAGTTTGCAAATGAACCTATTTTACCTCACTTAAGACTGATTCTCAGTCTGAAAGGCTCCATTAAGATTAAGAAGTCTGCAAGTAACAAATATCAAATTGGCTACAGTCGAGTAGCTCAAGTATATACCTCTGAAGGTTCAATATTGTCTCAACTTACCATTTTCAAGAGGTGCATCCTCAGGCAGATCCACATCAAGCATAAGATCATCATCCTCAAGGTCACATGATTCAAGATTATTCAAAATATCCTGTGAACAAAAGCAGTAAAAAATATACCATAATCTAGCTCTAAGGATATGTCAACCATTATTTTTTAAAATCGAACTATATGATATCCTGAATTCACTCATTATCTGCACTGAAAGAATAAAATAGGTTTTCAAGTTTTTTAAAAATAAAAATAGATTCAACTAGTTTAATTAAGCTATTTCTAACATCCTTCTCCTAGTCTTCCTCCTAGTCTTTCCTCCCCAATAGATTTTTATTTTCATATTAAAAAACTTTTAAGTCCATGTTTTTAACATCTTCCCTGGTAAAATACTGAAGAATCAAAAATAGTAAAGAATTGCCCAAAATTTATTCATAATTGGTATAAGAGGTGAGAGGCTGTTCTATTATTTCCAGGGATTGGACCACTTACATAAATAATAAAATAAGTCTTTAACAATGTGGTTATTCCATTTCCTTTCTTGTGCCAAACCCATCTCCTGTTACCATTAAGCACTCTGTCACCTCCTTGGCTTGACTCAATTTGTTCTTTTTCTATGATAAGACTAGACTATTCAACCTAGCATATGCAGTCCCTGCTGGCTTTTATTTGCAACCTTACTAGCTATTATCTCTTCTTAAAAAAGTAGTGTTTTATTTTCAAAGACTGTTGTTCTGAAGCCTAAAGAACTGAATAAACAAAAACTAAGGTTAAGGTAATAAACTCAGTTTGACCTATAGCCCACTGGTGCGTCCTTACAATCCAAGAATGAATCCAAATATCATAAGACCTTTCCTTAGTATATACAAGTAAAAAGATCAAAAGTCCAACAAACTTTTAAAAGACTGAGACATCATGGTCATAAAAAACTCTTTTTTTTTTGAGACGGAGTCTCGCTGTCACCCAGGCTGGAGTGCAATGGCGCGATCTCGGCTCACTGCAAGCTCCGCCTCCTGGGTTCACGCCATTCTCCTGCCTCAGCCTCCCGAGTAGCTGGGACTACAGGCGCCCACCACCATGCCTGGCTAATTTTTTTGTGTATTTTTGGTAGAGACGGGGTTTCACTGTGTTGGCCAGGATGGTCTCGATCTCCTGACCTCATGATCTGCCTGCCTCGGCCTCCCAAAGTGCTGGAATTACAGACTTGAGCTACCGCGCCCAGCCAAAAAAACTCTTATAGAAGGGAAATATCTACTTTATTACAGACAATATGAATAAAATTAAAACTGTTTCCTATGTTGGGTGTTCCATGCAAATACATTCAATTTTGTGTTGGGCCCTCCAAAGACTAAAAGTAACTAGAAAAATTATTTGAAAAACAAAATCTCTGGAAATTTTTTTTTCATTTTTAAAAACTCCATTGCAGAATGTTTGACATGCAATTAAACTGTACACATTTAAAGCAAACAGGAGAGAGTGCCAAGATGGCCAATTAGAAGCAGTTACAGTCTGCGGCACTCACGGAGAGGAATGAAAGCAGTGAGTGAACTCAGCACCTTCAACTGAAATATCCAGGTTCTCACACTGGGACTGACTAGACAAACAGCCTGACCCACAGAAAATGAAGAAAAGCAGGGTGGGGCAACAGTCCACCCGGGAGCAATGTGGAGCCAAAGGAACCCCCAACCTCTGCCAAGAGAAGTGGTGAGTGATTGTGCAATCCCACCTGGGGAAACCACACTTCTCCCACAGGTCTTTGCAACCAGAGGATAAGGAGATCCTCTCATAAGCCCATGTCACCAATACACAGAGCTGTGTGGCGTCCAGGTAGAGCAGCAGCTTGGGCACACACACAGAGATACATGAGTTTTGCATATTCCACCCCCGGGATTACCAGCAAGGCAGATCTGTCCCTACATACCACTAGGAGTGGAGCTGAATCCAAGGATCCAAGCAGCATCGATCTGCAGGCCCACTTGCACGGCACCTTACACGTTAAGACCCACTGACTTGGAATTCCAGCCAGCCAGCAGTAACAAGGAGTCTGCCTGAGAAGGACTGAGTTTCCAGGAGGAGGGGCAGCCGCCATCTCTGCCGTCTGGTCAACTCAGCTGATCCAGTCTGCTGGCTCAGGAGAGTCCAGACAGTCCGAACAAGAAAGTGTCCCCCACAACGCAGCACAGCTGTGCTAACAAAAAGCAGCCAGACTACTTCTTTAAGTAGGTCCCTGATCCTGTTTCTCCTAAATGGATGAGATCACCCAACAGGGTCTCCAGCCACTTCCCACAGGTGCCTCCTTCAGGCTGCCAACAGGTCAGTAACCTCTGGAATGGAGTTTCCAGAGGGAGGATCAGGTTGCCATCTTTGCTGTTTCACAGCCTTCACTGGTGATATCTCCAGGTAAGAAAAAAACTGAGGCAACTAGGGTCTGAAGAAGAATGCCAGCAAACCCCAGCAGCCCTTTGGAGGAGTAGCGTGACTGTTAAAAGAAAAACAAACAGAAAACAACAGCAATAAAACCATCAACAAAAAAGACCCCACAAAAACCCAATTCAAAGGTCAGCAACCTCAAAGATTGAAGGTAGATAAGCCCATAAATATGAGAAAGAATCAATGCAAAAACGCTGAAAACTCAAAAGGCCAGAGTGCCTCATCTCCTGCAAATGACCGCAACACTTCTCCAGCAAGGGCACAGAACTGGGCTGAGGATGAGATGGCTGAACTGACACAGTAGGCTTCAGAAGGTGAGTTAACAACAAACTTCGCTGAGCTAAAGGAGCATGTTATTACCCAATGCAAAGAAGCTCAGAATGATAAAACAACACAGGAGCTGATAGTCAAAATAGCTGGTTGAGAGAGGAACATAACTGACCTGATGGAGCTAAAAATCATAACATGAGAACTTCCCAATGTAATCACCAGTATCAATAGCAGAATAGACTAAGTAGAGGAAAGAATCTCAGAGCTTAAAGACTATCTTGCTGAAATAAAACAAGCAGACAAGATTAGAGAAAAAAGAATGAAAATAAATGAACAAAACCTCTGAAAAATATGCAATTATGTAAAGAGACCAAACCTATAACTGATTGGGATACCCGAAAGAGATGGGGAGAATGGAACCAACTTGGGAAACATACTTCAGGATATCATCCAGAACTTCCCCTGTGTAGCAAGACAGGCCAACATTCAAATTCAGGAACTGCAGAGAACCCCAATAAGATATTCCAAGAGAAGATCAACCCCAAGACACATAAACATCAGATTCTCAAGGTCAAAATGAAAAAAAAAAATGTTAAGGGCAGCCAGAGACAAAGACCAGGTCATCTACAAAGGAAAGCCAATCAGACTAATGGCAGACCTCTCAGTGGAAACCCTACAAGCCAGAAGAAGTTGGGGGCCAATATTCAACATTCTTAAAGAAAAGAATTTCCAACCCAGAATTTCATATCCAGCCAAACTAAGCTTCATAAGCAAAGGAGAAATAAGATCCTTTTCAGACAAACAAATGCCGATGGAATACATCATCACCAAGTCTGCTTTGCAAGAGCTCCTGACGGAAGCACTAAATATAGAAAGGAAAAACCATTACCAGCTACTACAAAAGCACAATGAAGTACACAGACCAAGTGACACTATGAAGCAACCACATAAACAAGTCTGCAAAATAACCAGCTAGCATCATGATGACAAGATCAAATTTACATACAATAATACTAACCTTAAATGTAAATGGGCTAAATGCCCCAATTAAAAGACACAAAATGGCAAGCTAAATAATTAGCCAAGATCCATCGGTATGCTGTCTTCAAAAGACCCATCTCACATACAAAGACACACATAGGCTCAAAATAAAGGGAAGGGGAATATTTACCAAGCAAATGGAAAACATAAAAAAAGCAGAGGTTGCAATCCTGGTTTCTGACAAAATAGACTTTAAACCAACAAAGATCAAAAAAGACAAAGAAGGGCATTACATAATGGTAAAAGGTTCAATTCAACAAGAAGAGCTAACTATCTTATTAAATATATATGCAGCCAACATAGAAGTACCAAGATTCAGAAAGCAAGTTTTTAGAGACCTACAAAGAGACGCAGACTCCCACACAATAATAGTGGGAGACATTAATACCCCAATGACAATATTAGAAAGATCATCAGGACAGAAATTTAACAAAGATATTCAGGATCTGAACTCAGCTCTGCATCAAGTAGACCTGATAGATATATACAGGACTCTCCACCCAAAAACAACAGAATATGCATTTCTTCTCATGGCCACAGGGCACTTACTCCAAAATTGATCACATAATCAAAAGTAAAACACTCCTCAGCAAATGCAAAAGAACTGAAATCATAACAGTCTCTTGGACCATAGTGCAACCAAATTAGAACTCGAGATTGGGAAATTCACTCAAAACCACACAACTACATGGAAACTGAACAACCATCTCCTGAATGACTCTTGAGAAAATCATGAAAGTAAGGCAGAAATCAAGTTCTTTGAAAGTAATGAGAACAAAGAGAAAACATACCACCATCTCTGGGATGCAGCTAAAGCACTGTTAAGAGGGAAATTTATAGCACGAAATGCCCATATCAAAGAGCTAGAAAGATCTCAAGTTAACAACCTAACATCACAACTAAAAGGACTAGAGAACCAAGAGCAAACCAACCCCAAAGTGAGCAGAAGACAAGAAATAACCAAGATCAGAGCTGAACTGAAGAAGATGGAGACACAGAAATCCTTCAAAAAAAAAAAAAAAATCAATGAATCCAGGAACAGTTTTTTGAAAAAATTAATAAAATAGACAACTAGCTAGACTAGTAAAGAAGAAAAGAGAGAAGAATCAAAGAAACATAATCAGAAATGATAAGGGGAATATCACCACTGACCCCACAGAAATAGAAACAATCATCAGAGAATACTATAAACACCTCTATGCACATAAACTAGAAAATCTACAAGAAACAGATAAATTCCTGGACACATACACCTTTTTTGGGAGAAAAGCTGAGTAGCTGGAAGAGAAGCTGAGGCAGGGCTTACATGTCTGCTAGACTTGCTGGCTCCTTGCTTCTAGCACTCCCATTATCTCAAGTACCCATATGTTTCTGGTTCACTTGATACACCATTTCCTTTCAACCCCCACATCCTCACCACCTGTCTCTTTGAGCACCAATAAATAGCATGGGCTCCCAGAACTCAGGGCCTTCACAGCCTCCACATTCACAATGGCCCCCTGGTCCCACTTTCTCTCTCAAACTGTCTTTTTCTCATTCCTTTGATTCCACCAGACTTCGTCCCCCCACGACCTGCTGTTGGGTCTGATCACCCCAACAACCCTCCCAAGACTGAACCAGGAAGAAACTGATTCCCTGAACAGACCAATAACGAGCTCTAAAATTGAGCCAGTAATAAATAGCCCACCAACCAAAAAAAAAAGCCCATGACTAGACAGATTCACATCTGAATTCTATCAGAGGTACACAAAGAAGAGCTGGTAGCAGTTCTACTTAAAACTATTCAAAAAAATTAAAAAGGAGGGACTCCTCCCTAACTCATTCTATGAGGTCACCATCATCCTGATACCAAAACCTGGCAGAGATACAATAAAAAAAAAGAAAACTTTAGGCCAATATCCTTGATGAACATAAATGCAAAGATCTTCAACAAAATACTGGCAAACAGAAGGCAGTAGCACATCAAAAAGCTTATCCACCTGGGATGCAAGGCCTGTTTCAACATACGCAAATCAATAAATGTGATTTATCACATAAACAAAACTAAAGACAAAAACCACATGACTATCTCAATAAATGCAGAAAAGACCCTCGATAAAATTCAACATCTCTTCATGTTAAAAACACTCAATAAACTAGGCAGTGAAGGAACATACCTCAAAATAATAAGAGCCATATATGACAAACCCACAACCAATATCATACTGAAAGGGCAAAAGCTGGAGGCGTTCCCCTTGAAAACCAGCACAAGACAAGGATGCCCTCTCTCACCACTCCTATTCAACATAGTACTGGAAGTTCTGGCCAGGGCAATCAGTCAAGAGAAAGAAATGAAAGGTATTCAAATAGGAAGAGAAGAAGTCAAATTATCTTTGTTTGCAGATGAGATAATTCTATATCTAGAAAACCCCATCATCTTAGCCCCAAAGCTTCTTAAACTGATAAGCAACTTCAGCAAAGTCTCAGGATACAAAATCAGTGTGCAAAAATGGATAGCATCCCTAAACACCAACAACCGGCAAGCTGAGAACCAAATCATGAATGAAGTCCCATTCATAACTGCCACAAAAAGAAGAGAATACGTACGTATTAACACAGCTAACAATGGAAGTAAAGAACCTCTTCAAGGATAACTACAAACCACTGCTCAAAGAAATCAGAGAGGAAACAAACAAATGGAAAACCATTCCACACTCATGGATGGTTGGTAAAATCAATATCATGAAAATGGCCATACTGCCGAAACGAATTTATAGATTCAATGTTATTCCCATTAAACTACCATTGACATTCTTCACAGAATTAGAAAAAAACTATTTTAAAATTCATATGGAACCAAAAAAGAGCCCAAACAGCCAAGACAATCCTAAGCAAAAAGAACTAAATATATAGGCACCCAGGAGCCTATATACAGGAGCACCCAGATTCTGGTGGCATCATGCTACCTCACTTTACAGACAAGGCTACAGTAACCAAAACAGCACAGTACTGGTATAAGAATAGATACATAGACCAACGGAGCAGAATAGAGAACTCAGAAATAAGACTGCACACCTATAACCATATGATTTTCCACAAACCTGACAGAAACAAGCAACAGAGAAAGGACACCCTATTTAATAAATGGTGCTGGAAGAACTGGCTGGTCATACGCAGAAAATTGAAACTGGACTTCTTCCTTACACTACACATAAAAATTAACTCAAGATGGATTAAAGACTTAAATGTAAAACCCAAAACTATAAAAACCCTAGAAGAAAATCTAGGCAATACCATTCAGGTAAAGATTTAGGCACAGGCAAATACTTCATGATGAGAATGCCAAAAGCATTACAACAAAAGCAAAAATTGACAAATGGGATCTAATTAAGAGCTTCTGCACAGCAAAGGAAACTATCATAAGGGTGAACAGACAACCTATGGAATGGGAGAAAAATTTTTGCAATCTATCCGTCTGACAAAGGTCTAGTCACTAGACTCTACAAGAAACTTAAGCAAATTTACTAGAAAATAAGCAAACAATCCCAATAAAACATGGGCAAAGGACATGAACAGACACTTCTCAAAAGAAGACATACATGCAGCCAACAAAGATGAAGAAAAGCTCAACATCAATGATCATTAGAGAAATGCAAATAAAAACCAAAATGAGATACCATCTCACACCAGTCAGAATGGCTATTATTGAAAAGTCAAAAATCAACAGATGCTGGTATGGCTGTGAAGAAAAAGGAACACTTTTACACTGTTGGTGGAAGTATAAATTAGTTCAACCATTGTGATAGATGGTGTGGTAATTCCTCAAAGACCTAGGGGCAGACATGCCATTTGACCCAGTAATCCCATTACTGGATATATAATTGAAGAAATATAAATAATTCTATTATATAAAGATACATGCATGCATATGTTCATTACAGCACTATTCACAGTAGCAGAGACATGGAATCAACCTAAATTCCCATTAATAACAGACCAGATAAAGAAACTGTGGTACATATACACCGTGGAATACTATGCAACCACAAAATGGAATGAGATCATGTCCTTTGCAAGGACATCATTAGAGTTGGAAGACATCCTCATCAAACTAACGCAGGAACAGAAAACCAAAGACCGCACGTTCTCACTTACATGTGGGAGCTGAATGATGGGAACACATGGACACATTGCAGGGAACAACATGCACTGGGACCTAGCAGAGGGCAGGGGGTGGGAGGAGGGATTGGATCAGGAAGAATAACTAATGGATGCTGGGCTTAATACCTGGATGATAGAATTATCTGTGCAGCAAACCACCATGGCACACATTTACATGTGTAAGAAACCTGCATGTCCTGTACATGTACCCATAAACTTAAATAAAAGTCGAAGAAAAATAAACTGATAAATGTTGACATTACAGTCATGGTACGGAAACATCATCAAAATCAAGACAACAAACATATACATTAACTCCAAAATGTTCCTTATGCTTCTTCACAAATGTTTTCCATTTGAACATAGTTCTGTGTTAAAGAACTAGAAGTTAACTGGTTTAAGAAAAAAAAAAAGAGAGCAATCAAGCAGTTATCTAAAACAGCATGTACAGAATTAACCATTTTATGAAAATAAAAACACTATAATATACATAGAAAATACTTGGAAAGAAACCAAAATACAGATTAACTTTTAGAAATATGAGATTTCTGGATGGGCAAAGTGGCTAATGCCTGTATTCTCAGCACTTTGGGAGGCTGAGGCAGGAGGATCGCTTGAGCCAAGGAGTTTGAGACCAGCCTGGGCAACATAAGGAGATCCCATCTCTACAAAAAAAAAATTTTTTTAAATAAATAAATAGGCCAGGCGCGGTGGCTCATGCCTATAATCCCAGCACTTTGAGAGGCCACGGCGGGCAGATCACCTGAGGTCAGGAATTCAAGACCACCCTGGCCAACATGGTGAAACTCCGTCTTTATTAAAAATACAAAAATTAGCCAGGCGTTGTGGCAGGCACCTGTAATTCCAGCTACTCAGGAGGCTGAGGCAGGAGAATCTCTTGAACCCGGGAGGTGGAGGTTGCAGTGAGCCGAGATCGCACTACTGCACTCCAGCCCAGGCAACAGAGAGAGAGACTGTCTCAAAAAATATAAATAAATAAACATAATAAAATAAAATAGAAGAAATGAGATTTTTATTTTTTTGATTTACAGTACCTATGTTTTCTCATTTATCACAATAAGCATTATAAGTAATTTCATTCCCCCCAAAATCATATCCTCTCAAGAAACATTTGGCTGTTTGTGTATGTGTGTCTGAGTATGTGTGAAACAAGACAGTGTTGGGTACCCTGGGCCAGATCTGACAATTAAGGCCACGGCAAAGAATCCAAAGCAATATAGTGTTGTGCTCTAAGTCCAGAGCAGGGCCTGCTGAGCAGCACTGAATCAGTGAAAGGAGAACTGTCACCACTGTTAAAAAGATGCCAAACTTTTAATAACCAACTAAATGCTACATTTTATGTGATTTTCTGTACCTTTCATTTTATAATGAATGGTTAAAAAATACAGCCTCAAAGAATGGGAGTGAGCCTACTCTAATGAATGTAAAGGTGACAGAATAATTATATCACTCTATGAAGTTACTAAAAAAGCCCAGTCGAAAAGGAAAGGGGAAGAGGAACACGGAAGGAAAGAAGGAAGGAAGGAAGAGAGGCAAAAAATGGAGGGAGAGAGAGGAAAAAAAGAAAATCAAACATATATAAATAAATCCTTATTTATGATGTTTCAAACATTCCTCTCATTAGATAAAGATCCACTCTGTAAAATGGGGGAGAAGAAAATAAGCAGATTACATATGCACAATATGACTACAATTTTAATGCTGAAAAATACATTCAAATATCTGGCAGGTGATAAACTGAAGGACAAGTATAATCTTCCAATATGTGACAACGTAATCACATACTTATGTTTTTAATTTTTTTTTTTACTTTTCTGTAATAATAAATTTTTCCTTTATGTAAAAAGGACATAGGGCTTTTATAATAAGTAAAACTTCATGTTGGATTAAGTCCTGGCACCCCTGGGAAGTTCAAATCACACAAAACCAGCCTGCCATGTGGGAACCTTCAACCCAGCCCATTCACTAACCATGACAAATATCAGTGCCACCCGCCCCTCCCCTCCATGCAAACCATTGTGAACCAGTGTGGGTGACTGCCCTGTTCTCCCCAGAAAGTCTCATTTTGTGAGTTAAGTCTTTTCAAATACTTTTGGTACATGTGTGGTACCATCAGTCTTGGCAGCCAGCCAATTTGGGGGGCTAGGCATTGATCCAGAATAACATTCTCAATAATTTACAAATAACACTACTAATATATGCAAAGCACTAACCTGGGTACAGGATATGCCCAGGTAAACAAAACTAAAGAGTTTTAAAAAGTGACAAATTGAGATTTGCACTAGAGAAGTATTATTCTGGCTGCAGTGCAGAGAATGGATTTAAGTGAGACAGAAAAACCAGTTTTGTTGCTATTGCAGAATCCATGTGGCATATGTCAGTGGCCTGATACTAATCAGTGTCAGTGAGAACAAAGAATAAGCAGTAATGAAACACACTGAGGAGTTAGACTCTACAGGACGAAAGTTAACTGAGAAGTAAGCAAGAAGCCATGGATGACTCCTTAGCTCCTGGCTTGAGAAACAAATGTATGATGCTTATTAACTAAAATATAGCATAAAAAAGGAAGGCCAACCTAAATAAAGCTGGAAAAGATTAAACAAGTAAATAAAACAAATGATGGAAGCAAAACAAAAAAAGGAAAGTCAACCTCAATAAAGCTGGAAAAGATTAAATAAATAAAACAATAATGGAAGCAAAACCAAAAAGGAAGGCCAAATCTGGTAGAATGTAAAAGAATACATAGTTTTGAAGCCCAATTATTTTGATGTGCATGCTGCATCTTTGAGAAGACAAATTCAAAGGACAACTGAATATAGGGGTCTAGGTTAAGCAAAGAGATTTAAATTGTGGGAGTCATTACCAAATAGATGACAACCAGAAGATGTTGAACAGTAAGTCTGACAAAACACCGTAGAGTAAGATTACTGAATTCTAACATCTGCTTTAGGCAATTCTTCCCTTGTCCATCTTTTGGGGAGGTCTATGTTTAACATCAGATTTTGAGAAGAGTGACATCACAGATATCATTAGAATTAGAGTAAGGGTTCAGGTAATAGGAGAAAAAAAAATTAACTTACTCTAACTTTTCTTCACCAGCTTAGAAATCATCTGCACAGGGTAGAAACTGCATTTTTACAGGAAAAGAGGAAACCACGCAGTGCGGAAATTGGTTAATGTGGGAAAGAGTTTCTATTCCCTGTTTGTTGTGGCAGCCTCTTTCTCTAACTGGCAGTCCTGCACTTATTGGGAGCCAACATCCATATAGACCTGTTTTCCTTAGTAGACCATTAAAATGCAATCATTACTTGGGAGTATGACAATGAAAACCCAAATATGTATATTCTCTGGCTTCCAGAGGCTTCCCGTAAGACTGACTGGAATTAAAACTCTGAGCACATATGAGCAGGTTTACCATAGAACTTCCTTGGACTTTGAGAACACATTTCTATTCAAATAGAGTGAACTGTGAGACGGTGGGTCAGTGCTTCCTTCACACATATCTCCTCCACTACAAATGTTTCTGACAAATGAATGACACCATCATTAGTTTAATTACACTGTAAAATTAATTTTGGGGGGTATAGTTTATAAATTTTAAAGCACAAATAGATGTGTAAACACCTACGCAATTAGGATGCAGAACAGTTTCTTCACCCTCGAAGAAGTCCCTCACACTATCCAGTTATAGTTACACCCTCCTCCCATCCATACCTTCTGTCAAACACTGATCTGTTCTCCATCACCATAGTTTTGTCTTTCAAGAATATCATATAAATGGAATCATACAGCATGTAACATTTTGAGAATGACTTCATTCACTCGGCATAATGCCTTTAAGGTTCATTGGTTTCTTTTTACTGCTGAGTACTATTCCACTGCGAATGTACAGTTTGTGTACCAGTTTACTAATGAAGGATATTTCGATTCTTTCTAGTTTTTAACTACTATACATGAAGTTATTATAAGCATGCATGTACAACTTTTTGTGTGAATATAAGCTCTCATTTTTCTATGGTAAATACCCAGGAGTAGGACTGCTAGATGATACAGTGAGTGTATGTTTACTTCTCAAGAAACTGCTAGGTCATTTCCCAGAGTTGCTGTAACATTCCACATATCAATCAGCAATGAATGAGACTTCTAGTTGCTCCGCATCCTCAACAGCCCTTAGTTACTGTCAGTAATCTTTATTTTAGCTCTTCTAATAGGTGTGCAGTGGTGTCTCAGCATGGCCTGAATTTGCTAATGATGTTGAACACACTTTTACATGTTTATGTGCCACTCTTACATCCTTTTTGATAAAGTGTCTATTCAGGTCTCTTATACATTTTTTTATTTGGGTTGTCTACTTACTTATTGCTGACTTTTAAGAGTTCTTTATACATTCTGGATAAAAGTCTTTTGACAGATATGTGAGTCACAAATATTTTCTCCTAGTCTGTAATTTAACTTTTTATTGTTTCTTGACAGTATCTTTGGTATAACAAAGGTTTTTAATTTAATGTAATCCAGTTAATTTTTTATGGATCATGCTTTTGGCATAATTTCTAATAACTTTTCACCTAATCTCCAGGTCATAGTATTTTAAAATGTTTTCTTACAGTTTTACACTTCACAATTACACCAAAGATCGATTTTGGAATAATTTCTGAATAAGATGTAAAATTTTAGTCAAAGTTCAATTTTTGTTTTTTAATATATGAACGATCAAATGGTTCCAACAACATTTGTTGAAAGATTTCTCCACTGAGTTTCTTTTACATCTTTGTCAAAGATCCACAGGCCATCTTTATGTGGTTCCATTTCTTTTCTGGAGCCTCTATTACGTTCCATTGATTTACCTGACTGTCCCTTTGTCAATGTTACAGTGTCCTGATTGCTGTAGCTTTAAAATGGGTTAGTACAATTCCTCCAGCTTTGTTCTGCTTTTTCCAACAAAACATATTGGTACTCCTGCTGGGATTCTGATTGGTATTGCATCACTTTGGGATGGAGTGATGTCTTCACTACACTGAGTCTTCCAATTCATGAACACCACATTACTTTATGTATTTATGTAGGTCATATTTTTATTTAGATCTTCTGTAATTTCTTTCATAAGATCCCTATACTCTTCAGTATAGACTTTGTTAGATTTATACCTAAGTGTTTTGGTAGATCTTATAAACAACATTGTTATATTTACTCAAGTTTATAACTAGTCATTGATGATACAGAGAAACAAGAATTGTGTGCATTGATTTTGTATCTTGCAA
Source organism: Homo sapiens (assembly GCF_000001405.40). NCBI lineage: Eukaryota > Metazoa > Chordata > Mammalia > Primates > Hominidae > Homo > Homo sapiens. Next base: position 84,404,710 of record NC_000010.11, on the reverse strand, counting down.
CATTGCTAAACTCACTTATTAGTTATAGGAATCTTGTTTTTTTTAAGTCAAACTTTTAAAAATTGACTTTTGAGGACAATGATCCAATTGGAACAGAACACACATTTAGTAGTTCACTAGCTAATCGGACAAACATGCTCGACTGTGGTGGCCCACCAGGTTTGTCCTAAACAAGCACTAATTTCATTTAGTGTGAAACAAAATCAAGCAGCTTGAGCTCCATATCCCGTTTGTACCAGTGGCATATGCTTGCTTCCTGTCCACTCACTTTTAAGTATTTGCATGACTAATCCTGTCCAATATTAAACAACACTTAAAATCAAGAAAATGGGAGCAATAGGTCAAAGGACTAAGAAGACTCCTTAAACAACTTTGTTAGTAAGCTGAGAATACTCCAACCTGCTTCCCCATCAACAAAAGGAACTGGAGGGGTAAGTTTGTTTCGAAGGGGTTGGCATAGTGAAATTACAGTCATTTGATACTGAGGATCAAGGCATGGAGCCCCCTGTGTATCCTGTGGATTTCAGGGGAGTTTAATGAAATCAGAACAGAGGTGGCTCCTTGTGTGCCACAGGATGTGACCCTTTGGCATCTGGCTACAGAGCAACCTGGGTAATGAATGTTAAATTTAAAGCTAGTCTTACTCCCTTGTGATCTGGACCAGAAAATCAAGATGGCAACCCTATTTTCAAAGATTGTTGGTTTAGAAATGAATTCAAGGTGTATTCCCTCTCTAAATCTGTAACTTTTGAATTATTTTCCATAATCTGAACAAAGACAAACTCTGTCTCTCATTTGTTATCTTCTAGAGCACAAAGAGGCTTTTTCCAGCCCAATTTATTTAGCTTGGAGCATTTGTATATATTTTTTCCAGCTGAACCATTTTAATTTCCATCAGAAATATAAGAAATGTTGTTTCTCGGCATTTTCACTAGCATTTGGTTTTATCACAATTTTTTATATTGGTTATTCTATAGGTGTATAGAATGTGATTTTAATTTGCAATTTCCTAAGGGTTAATTATGATGAATGTCTTTCCATGTCCTTATTTCCCATCCATATCTCCTCTTTGGTGAAATGTCAAAGTCTCTTACTCCTTTTCTAATTAAATTGCTGATATTTTGTATTGTTCAACTTCAGAGTTTGTTAGATATTTTGGACACGAGAACTTTGTCAGATATATGGTTTGCAAAGTTCTTCTCCCACGCTGTAGCTTGTTTTCATCCTCTTAATAGAGTTTTTTGCAATGCAAACATTTTTTCTTTTAATGAGGTTCAATTTGTCAATTTCTTTCTTATGGATTATGTTTTTAATATCAAAGAACTCTTTGCTTAGCCCTAGTTCCTAACGATTTTCTTCTATATTTCTTTTAAAGTTTCATAGTTCACATTTTATATGATCGATGATCCATTCTGAATTAATTTTAATAGGTGGTGAGAGGTTTAGGTTGAGATTTATTTTGTTTTACTTTGTTTTACCTATGGATATCCAATTGTTTCAGTACTATTTGTTAAACTGCCTCTAACCTTTTTCAAAAATCACTTGGGCATATTTGTGTAGGTCTACTTCAGGGTTCTCTATTCCGTTCCATTGATCTATGTGTCTATGCTTCTGCCAATACCACGCTCTCTTGATGACTGTAACTATTAAGTCTTTACATCAGGTAGAGTAATTCTTGCCACTTTATTCTTATTTTTCAAAATTGTGTAAGCTACTCTAGTTCCCTTGCTTTTTTATATAAATTTTAGAACAAGCCTGTCTATATCTACAAAAAAGTATTTCCAGGGTTTTGATGAAAAAATTGCATTAAGTCTTTATAAATTTAGGAAGAAGTGACATCTTAAATATGTTGAGTCTTCCACGTAGAGAATGTCATCTGAAAATAAAAATCCCTTTTCTTTCTTTCTCTTGGCTTATAACACTGGCTGAACTTCATTAACTACATTGAATAAGAGTGGTGAGAATGGACATATTTGTCTTGTTCTCGAATTTAGGAGAAAAGCATTTAATCTTTCTTCATTAAGTATTAACATAATGTTAGCTGTAGGTTTTTTGAAGATGTCAAGTTATTTTCTATTAGTTTGCAAAGGTCATTAATTGATGTTATATTTTGCTAAATGAAATGTCTTTTCTCCAACAATTGTTAGGATTTGTTTTCCCATAAGACTGTTAACATGATAGATTATACTGATCGATTTTCAACCTTGCATTCCTAGGATAAGCCCATTTGGCAAATAGTGTTTGGTTTTTGTTTTGTTTCATTGTTTTACATGTTGGTTTCAATTTGCTGACATTATATTTTTGTTTTGTTTTGTTTTTACATGTTAGTTTCAATATGCTGACATTATATTAAGACTTTTAAGACTATCTTTATTTTGAATAAAACTCTTCAAGTTTCTCTGTCAACACAGGCTGGGAGCTACTGTCACCAGCAGCCACCAGAGGCCCAGACAAAAGAGTGCTCATACGGTATTCACTTGCATGGATCGCTTCAGGGCAGGCATTGCAGTTATGGGTCAGATTGTGGACATGGCTTCAATGAAACACACACAATGCGAAAATTTAAGAGTTTTTAAGTACTTACAGAACTTGAAGCATACAGGGAATGCCTTGAGGCCACATGCGGAGCACAAGCAGGTAGAGAGAAAAAGAGTTTGGCAACTAGTACTATTGGGAAATAGGGTGTGGTCACTTTAAGTTCATTAGCAAATAAGTGAATGGTCCATTTAATGCAAGCTGTGGGAAAGAGAACGCTGTCTGCTAGGCAGGAGTCATGCCTCTCAATTCTTACCTCTGGCCACCAGCTTGTCATTTGGGTGTAGTATAGAACTGGAAACTGTGTCAAGGGTGACTATGGCCTGCCTCTGCCTCTGGCACTAGAAAGTTAAACCTGCATTTGAAATGGCTGCTGAAGCCACATAAAATTACAAGCATGCACTACGATGTTAATGAGGGATATTGGACTGCAGTTTCCTTTTCATATAATTTATTTGTCTGGTTTTAGTGTGAGGTTATTGCTGGATTTGTAAAATAAATTGGGGATCTCTTTCCATTTTCTTCTACTTTCAGGAAAAGTCTATGTAGAATTACTGTTATTTCTTCATTAATTGTTTGGTAAAATTGGCCAGTGAAACCATGTGGACAAGATCTTTTTTGGAATTTTTTTTTCCACAGAGTAAATTCTTTAATGGTTATAGGGCTATTCAAATTATCTATTTCAACTTGGGTGAAGTTTAGTAGTTTGTGCTTTTAAGGAATTGGTCCACTCAAGTAGTAAAAATTTATGTGCTTAATTTCTCATAGTTTTCTCTCATTATCTTTTTAATGTCTGTGGAGTTTGTAGCGGTATCTTTTTCCTTCAACCCTGTAATCTTTGTTTCACTATGCCTTTGTCAGTCTTGCTAAATGTTTATCAATTTTATTGATCTTTTCAAAGACCACCTTTCAATTTCGTTGCTTTTTCTCAATTACTTTTGGGCTTTTAATTCCATTAATCTCTGTTTTCCTGATTATTTCCTTCCTTCTACTTGATTTGGAATTAATTTGATTTTTTACTAGTTTCTTAAGGTACAAGCTTTGATTACTGATTTGAGACCCTTCTTCTTTTCTAATGCAAGTATTCATCACTATAAATTTCCTTCTAAGCACTGCTTTAGTTACATTCTACAAATTTTGATAAAATATATTTTCATTCTCATTCAGTTCAAGCGATCTGCCTGCCTCAGCCTCCCAAAGTACTAAGATTACAGGTGTGAGACATGGCACCCGGCTACAGATGGCATTTATTTATTTATTTAGAGATGGAGTTTCGCTTTTGTTGCCCAAGTGGAGTGCAGTGGCACGATCTCCACTCATTGCAACTGCCACCTCCCTGGTTCAAGCAATTCTCCTGCTTCAGCCTCCCAAGTAGCTTGAATTACAGGTGCCCGCCACCACACCAGGCTAATTTTTGTATTTTTAGTAGAGATGAGGATTCGTCATGTTGGCCAGGCTGGTCTCAAACTCCTGACCTCAGGTGATCCACCCGCCTCAGCCTCCCAAAGTGCTGGGATTACAGGCATGCACCACTGTGCCTGGTCTCAGATGGCACTTTTAAAATGGTGAAAGAAAAAAACTGTCAACCAATGGCAAAAGAATGAAGTCAGATCATTACCTCACACCATATACAAAAACATAAAATGGATCAATGGCCTCAATATAAGAACTAAAACCATAAAACTCTCAGGAAAAAAACAAAAGAGGCTGGGTGCGGTGGCTCACATCTGTATTTCTAGCACTTCGGGAGGCCAAGGCAGGCAGACTGCTTGAGTCCAGGAGTTCAAGACCAGCCTGGGCAACATAGCAAAACCCCGACTTTTTTAAAAAACAAAACGAAACAAAAACATAAGGATAAGTCTTTGTGACTTTTACTTTGGACTGGTAATGAATTCTTTGATACGACATTAAGAGCATAAACAATGACAACAAAAATAGATAAACTGGACTTCATAAAAATTAAAAACTTGTATATCAAAGGACATTATCAAGAAGCCTACAGAATGGGAGAAAATATTTGCAATTCACACATTTGATAAGAATCTGGTATCAAGAAAATATAAACAACTCTTACAACTCAACAACAAAAACACAAACAGCCCAGTTAAATGGGCAAAAGACTTGAAAAAACATTTCTCTAAAGATATACAAATAGACAATAAACACACAAAAAAGTTCAACCTCATTTGAGACTAAGCGAATCAAAACCACAATAAAATACCACTTAACGCCCAGTAAGATGGTTACTTAAAGAAAGAAAGAAAGAAAAAAAGACAGAAAATAACAAGTGAATATATTTGAAATTTCCATAAAGGGTTAAGTGATTGCCTGGTTTAAAAATAAACTCTATGAAATCTCTCAAAAAAAAAAAAAAGGCCAAAAAAGGTAAAAGAACAAAGGTTTAAAAAATAAATGAAAACAAAGAGAAAATGAAAAAGAGGCTCAACAGAGATATAACAGCCAATTATTAGAAGTTCTAGAAAAGGGGCACAGAAACAATGGAGGGGATATAATAATTAAATATGAACATTTTCCAGATTTAAAAGAATAATGGAACAAATTCTCCAGGAAGGTTTAAAAAAATGCCATTATCTTATTTAAAATTACTAGCTGGTAGGTACCCAAAACATATTTAGTGAAAATAAATAAATCCAGACTAACACTCATCCCGACTTCTAATCCAGTGTTCCTATCTCCGACTCTTATTGTGACACCCAAAAATTCCTACTCCGAGAGATTTCAGGTAAACTGTTTCTGGAAGTGTGGGAAATACACATACACCATGGAATATTACTCAGCCATAAAAAAGAATGAGATCATGTCTTTCACAGTAACATGGAACTAGAGGGTATTATTATAAGTGAAATAACTCAGAAACAGAAAGTCACATACCACATGCTCTCACTTATAAGTGGGAGCTAAACAATGGGTACAGCTGGACATACAGAGTGGAATAACAGACACTGGAAACTACAAAAGGTAGGAGGATGGGAAGGAGGTGAGGGCTTAGAATTTACCAATAGGTACAATGATCATTATTCAGGTGATGGGTATGCTAAAAGCCTAGATTTCACCACTACACAATATACACATGTGAAAAATCTGCATCTGTATTCCCAAAATATATAAAAATTAAATTTAAAAAATCTTTCTGGAAAATAGGCTCAGGCCATGACTCTAACTCTCTGTAAAACTCAAATGGCCAGATGTGGTAAGAGTGAACAACTTTAAACAAGCTTACAAAACATCACCAGAATACAGGCACTGTACAGAAGAAACTTCCTTAAAATATACTGGTTCCCAGACCAAGAAAACAGAACAAGGCTCTGTGAATATGTCTACATAAATTCTTCACAAAGAATACCCTATGAAACAAAATTATTACTTTAAAAAAAAAAGTCTGTTCATCATTGTATTCCCTGTGAATTATTAACCAAAGAGGGTAGACTTCAGCTATAGCTCAATTCTTTACAAATTTCTCTTCTGCTCTCAAGAAATGATCTTAGATTTTTCTCTATCCTTCCCTGGAACAAACCTACCTTAACACCCAGGAACTTTAAAAATAAACAGGAATAAATTCAAAATCTGAGAAATAAAGAGGAAGAAATGAGTAGGAAAGCATGTAGCTCCTTTCAAAAGGCACAAACAAATATTGTTTCATTTTGGCGTGTCTCCATGCTAAAATTATGGCTTCTCAAAATATTTTAAGAATTCTACTACAATAAAAACAGGAGTTTCAGAGAAATGAAATAATTTTCCTGATAAGCAGAATAATCCCTGTAAATATGATAGCTTACATAGCAAAGAGGGAATTATGGTTGCCAGTCAGCTGACCTTAAAATAGAGGTATTATCCTGGATTATCTGAGGGGGCCCAATGTATAATAATCACTCAGAATGGAAGAGGGAGGCAGAAGACAGACAGAAGGAGAATGGTCAAAGAGGTGCGGTGTTGCTCGGTTTGAAGACAGAGGAAGGAAGTCATGAACCAAAGGCAGTTTTTAGAAGGTGGAAAAGACAGGGAAATGGATTCTTCCCTCGAGTCTCCAGGAAGGCACCTAGCCCTGCTGACATCTTGATTTTAGCCTGCAGAGACATGTGTCTGACTTGTAAGCTAGAGAGGATAGTAAGATAACAAACAGTGTGTTGTTTTAAGCCATTGTATTTGTGGTAATTTGTCACAGCAGCCAGAGAAAACGAATACACCCTGTTTCTCAAATGCTATAATTAGGCTTATTTGTTTCTACTGTTTTAGAGTCAATCCTATACTTACTGCATTCACTTTCTATAATTTAAATATTTGTTCCTTCCTTTCTGTGATGCCTTACAAAGGCTGAAACAGAAATAGGCCACTACAGAAGCACATTAGCACCTGAAAAAGGAGAAGAGTCAGGTGTGACTGGTGGGACTTCTAATGGTTGCAGTAATGTAATATGTTGTAGACCTCAGCAGTAAGCTCAAATCAAGTTTTGCTTGACTGGACTTTACTTAAGCCTTTTAAAATTTACTTTTTTACTTCAGCCTTCACAGGCTTCAGATGAGTAATTTCAGCTATACTGATTATAACAGTCGGTGGCAGACTTCAGTTAACATATATATTTAATAAATCAAAATGCCAAGTGCATTAGTGGTATGTGTAGTCTTTTTGTTAGATGAGAGAAAATGAATGTATTGAGTGACCTCAATTCCTTTAGCAGTCAGAATTTCCTTATTTTAGGTTCAATTTTCTGTCCTCAAACCAGTCAAGTTACAGTGCATCCATCAGTGCCCATTTAACCTGAGGACAGCCCCATCACATTTTTGTATATTACATCAAATGAAGTTTCAGTAACATTTTTTAAAAGCTTTTCTTTTTGTTCTGTTTTACTGCAGAATTTCATATCTTAAGGACATTATACTTTGGGGGAGGTGGTAATAAAAATATCATAGGATGATTTTATGAGTAGATTATGGTAATACCAGAGATTTATTAATCAATGCACTTAAGATTTACCAGTAAGCTTTAGGTAAGAGTAGAAAGTCACTGGAATGTTCTAGGAAAATAGAATACCATGCATAGCAACTTTCATATAGTAATACTGACTAGCACTTTTATATGCAGAAGTTTCTACACAACTGAATAGGAGCTGGTATGGACACAAGTAAGGTGGTAGATGTGTTTTTTTATCTAAATTACAAAAATAATACTGCTCTATACTAGCATAGTCATTACGGCAGTTTATAACTGTAAAATATTGGAAACAATCTTGATGCCCATTGTTGGGAGAGTAATTGAATAAACAATGCACAATCTACAAAATAAGTAGTATACAGCGGTACAAAAAGAATAAGGATGATCTCGGCCAGGTGTGGTGGCTCACGCCTGTAATCCCGACACTTTGGAAGGCCAAGACGGGTCGATCACTTAAGCCCAGGAGTTCAAGACCAGCCTTGGCAACATGGTGAAACCCCATCTCTACCAAAAATACAAAAATTAGCCAGTCTCATAACCCAGTCTCAAAATAAACAAACAAATACATACATAGGTTAAAATTTAAAAATAAAATATTTTTTTAAAAAGAAGAAAAGGGAAGATCTCTATGAAGTAACATGAAATAAATGAGTACTTTAAATAAACCACGATGTGGGCAGAACCCAAAACGAAATACAAACAGCAACAAATGAACCTAAAAGTATTACAAATGAATAATACAATCACGCTGAAAGGATTGAGAACTAAAACAACTAACGTAAGTAAACTTGGAAAACAGTACTTATTGTATTCTGTAAGGTTAAGGTTTAAAAAAAAAATGCTAAACAAATATTGTAAGTTAGTAAATCTTTTTCATAGGGTGTAAGTTAGCAATTCTGAAACTGTGTGTATATAATATAGTATAAATATAGTATAGTTATGGTATATAATATACTATATATACTATATCTATAACTATGTATGAATATATACTATAATCCTTATACACACACACACACACACACACACACACACACACAGTGTTGAATAACTAAGAAAATATATTGTGGTTGAGAAACCAAGTTTCTCACTTTCTGAGAAAAGGCTTAAAAATAAGAAGAAAGGCTAGAACAAATTCTGTGGCATTTGATTGGAGTCAAAGGTATCCGTGTGAGCTCTTGGTCTTTAATATATACGGAAATGGATACAGAAATAAATATAGAAGAGAAGTGTGTGTGTATACATATAATTGTCAGTTCTGTCTGCCACAATAACTAAAAGTAATTACACCTCAGTAGCAACGAACACACCTAGGCCCCAGATCTTGGTTTCTAAATCTCATTCTCCAATAAAAATCTTCCTTGGAGACATAATGACTCAAGGGCTAGGGCAGGGAAAATACAAGATAAGCCTGGAATATTTTGTGGTCATATGAGACACTACTTATTCAGCTACGGCTGAAATCTGGGTTTCCCAATGGTTGGTCTAATGTTATCATGCTATTTTCTCCTTCACCATGTACTAAAAGGTAGAAAGAGGTTCCACAGACCAACTTTCCTATCTGTGTCTCCATGCAACCCAACTTAAGCTACCAAGCTGGCAGCTTCTGCTAATACAGGTTGCCTGACTCCCAGGACCAGGAAAGGGATAAAAGATTGCGGAAGTACCACACAAATGCCACTAGAAGTTGAAGAGCCTGAAAGCAATACTTATAATCACCACGGGACAATAAAACCAAATAACCTAAATTGAAAAATATTTAATTACTTATTCAGGCCAGAATAGCAACTTCAACAACTCCTAAAATTCATTCAATTAGTGAAAGACTCTTAGCTTCAGTGTCCTCATTAACTATAACAATTTTATAATAGCTACTTGATCCAAATTGCAGAATTCAATATTTTCTCCAAAAATATTACCCATTATACATCTACTCTATGCCAGGTACTATGCTAGGTAAAAGGAACATATTACACTCTGTTCTTTTTTTTTTTTTTTTTTTAAGACAGGGTCTCACTCTGTCACCCAGGCTGGAGTGCAGTGGCGCAATCATGGCTCATTGCAGCCTCAACCTCCTGGACTCAAGTGATCGTCCCACCTCAGCTTCCCAAGTAGCTGGAACCACAGGCATATGCCACCATGCCTGGCTAATTTTTTAGTGTTTTGTACAGATGGGGTCTTGTTACATTGCTCAGTCTGGTCTCAAATTCCTGGGCTCAAGCAATCCTACCACCTCAGCCTCACAAAGTGCTGGAATTACAGGCATGATCCACCGCACCCCGCCTACTCTGTTTATTAACAAATTACTTTTAAGTTCACTGACTTTTTCTCTGCAACACAGGCTTTGATCAAGAAGGAGTTTAGGTAATCCAGTAACTTCATTTTTATGAGAAAAAATGTTCAGAAAAAAAGTACTCTGTTCATGGTCTCATACATAGGTGGGGTGTATGAAGATCTGATACAGAAATATTTATAATATTTAATGTTATATCTTATTTTAAAAATCTGATTTATAAATATAATTTGTCCTTTCAGTTTGAGATACTGAATTTTTCTTCCTTTCCACCATCTTATTTCCCTGGGGTCATTTCTAACTACCCTCTACCCCATACCCTATACTCAGCAATGCTGATGTTCCTCTCACACATCATGATTTTGTGATATACTCATGCTGTACATGCTGTTCCGTATGCTAAAATGCTCACCATCTAATTTCCTTGGCCAACTGGTAAAACTTGCATTCATTCTTCAACACTCAACTCACAAGTTAACTTCCTCTTCAAAAGCTTCTGAATGACCCAACACACACACACACACACACACACACACACACACACACATACTTTCCTTTTGTTATTTCAAGAGCATATGCATACTAATCATTTATAAATTCATACTACGATCATGTGTTTATAATTTATCTGCCTATCAAACAAGATTTTGAACTAATTAAGGACAAGGACAGCCTTATCCACCTCAGTGTCCTCAGAAATTAAGAGTATGCCTGGAGCATAGTAGAAGCTCAAGAATTATTGAACTGAACTTCATATTGTAACATAATCTATAAGAAACATTAATGCTGAATGAAGAAAAATATAATTATGTTTAAAGAATCACAACAACTACATTTCATACATTTAAACTTTTCTTCACACCTAAAAGTTATATTAATAGGACAAAAAGATCTATACTGATAATTAAATGTACATGGAAGATTCACTACTGGAGTTGGAGTAGCTCCCTTCTATTCGTTCAAATTTTGTAACTCAATGTCAAAGCATACCTGAAAGTATCAATATCAGTTTGAGATTTCTATTTACCTACATTAGGACCATCTCAACTTTCTATAAGCTGTCCCTCCACTACCACATCTATGCTAGCATCACATTTTTAGTTACTTGCAGCTTGCTATTATGACACGTGATACCTTAGAAACTTACTTTGTAAATAGGTTATGTCATAATGTGTATACAAAACTAAGTGAAAAGTATTAAACAGTACCTTTAATTTTTTAAAGGTTAACAAGGATTTATTCACAGGAATACATGTAAGTAGAGAAAAATAACAGAAAAGCTAAACAAATGAAATGAAGAGGATCCAAACCAACTTTCACTCTGTAGCTTTTCACTTGCAACCTATGTGCATACATCTACGGCACAGAGGGCCACCAACATGCACCAAAATACAGCGTAGGAACCCTGCATTACACCCATTAACTTAAACATATCTTTAAGATCATGCTTTGAACAAAAAAAAAGAAAGCTTAGAAGGCAGTATGTTGAGTGGGGATAAAACACTGAAATACAGCAATCATTTTTCAACTTCTACAATTGTCTTTATGTGCCAACTGACATTTACGCAGCCTTTTACACATCTTTTACCACGTAATTTAAATTTTAGAAGTTTTGATAGAATCATGAGTAGTATATAACCATGCAGAAAGCACATCACACTGACAGCACAGAGGCAAAGATTTTGCACAGGTATATCAGCTTTCCACATTGTGCAGGTTACACACAATGCAATATCAATCTTATTCCTAACAGATCCTAAAAAAGACATTTCAAGGACTAGCTGTAAACTACAGTACTTTATATGTCTATATTCTTAATGAAAATAAAACCCACAAATCTTAAGAAGGAACAATTTAGTGTAGCAGGGCTACACTAAATTGGTAAACTGCAACACAAATTGCTGCAACATAGGTAAATGAATACCAGTCTCACTCTATGTGATGCAAGCATGCTACTTCCCCACTAATTTAAATTACTTTCAACCACTATGAGCCAGAAAGCATGCCTAACCCTTAAACTGCACTTTAAAAAATAACATATTGGCCTAGAAATTAAATCTAATGAAGTGCAACCATCAAATTATATCCGCTACATTAATGTTCAATGCAAAATTAAGATGTCATCTTTAGTTTGATATACCAAGCCCCATTTATTCCACCCAGCCTGCACACCCCAAAAAAGGTAAAAGGAGTGACTCATTTGGCATTTCACAGGGTGCTTCATTGTTCATGTTTGTTTTGTTCTATTTCCAACTTTTTTGGGGTACCTTAAATTGTAACTTCCAAGAACCTGCTTCTACTATGGGAAGGCAAGCTGATTTTAACTATATTAGTTCTGTTTGTGCAGTTCTTCATCAATATGCAAAACAAAGCCCCATCATGTGGGAAAACTTGGATTAAAAAAAAAACTTTAAATAAAAAAAGAAAAAAGCTTCTTTACTATTTGTAACTCCCATTCTTAGGTTTCCTTTATTGTGCGCTATAGAATTGTTCCTCTTTCTTGTCCCTATGCATCATTTATATGGTTCCTGTTTTGGTACAATTCTCCATAATATTCCACAATGTGCTGTTTTGTGAGTAGACTGAACAGATTTTTTTTTTTTTTTTTTTTTTTTTGCTTCTTCAGATCCAGTGCAGAGTTGTAGCTGGAGACATATTTCAACCCACAAAGGCTCCACATGTTAAAACGTTTCCCAACATCAACCTAATACAGTGACAGCAACACCTCCCTCCTGCCCCTTCCAGTAGGGTTGAGATTGTAGTGTATTCCCTACCGGTTTACCCTTCCCCCCGTAAAGGGTAGTATTTTCCCTGGGTGCAGAGGCTCCCTCATAGTCTCCAAGACTGAAGGACCCCTAATTTTGGGACTGCAGCTTAAGTGTATTAAACACCATAAACAGCTGCAAGACGCTCTTTTTAAGGGAAGAGGAAACTGGTCAGAGAAATGCCTCCAATTTTTATCGCCTACTTGATTTTTAAATCCATGAAGGATCTTACACCGAATGTGTCTCTGAGATCATCTTTTGGGTTAATCCATGATGCAACAGCATCACAAAAAAATATAAAATCTTGGATTACACTACTGGGATTCACAATGATCATGGTACAAATTCCACGGAATGCTGAATCCTTTTCCTCATTGTCTCTTATGTTTCTCAGAAAGGTGCACCAGGGTCTTCATACTGCTGTAGCATGGGGGCCACCTCTTGAAGACACACGTAACCAAGACGACCAATCGTTATTGCTGTATTCTCTAACAATGTCTTTGGTGTGTTGGGTCTGTTAATGATTTCTACAAGCTAGTGCAACACCATAGGAATATAAGGCTGCATCTCTATATCCATTTGAATGGAGATTTCTCCAACTGCCTATGTGGCATTGTTGCAGACTGAAATGAATTCTGGATTTGGGTTGATTCCCAGTATTGGCATGAAATCAGCTATACAAGGCTTAACATGCTGAAAGCAAGCTTTTGTGAGGTCACCTAACAGGGCAAAATAACTCTGTCGAACTTCTAGCATTTTATCCTGCATCCACTGATGCATTAGTGTTAGGATGTTACTTTGGGCTACCAGCTGTTCAATGTTGCCTCCAAGTCCTTCAGCCAGGCCACTCAGTAAATCAAGAGACACTAACATAAAATCTTTATCTGGAGCTTCATATTGATCTGGTTGAGCATTGTTTAGCATGGCTTGGGCAAGTTTTCCTCATTGTCTCTTACACAGGTTCACAGTATGGAAGAAAGCCAGACTGCAGTGCTGTGGCAACTGAAGATAGGCACTCAGGTAAAGGGAAGAGATCCTTATCTTCACCATTTAACATGTTCCATTTCTGGGTCAGTGGAGGCATTAGCATCTGAATATATTCTGGTTTGTTTGAATGATGTCCTACTGAATCTGCTAATGTTCCTAAGGCATTGTAAAGCACGAGCAGGTTCTTATGCTGGTATTTACTAAATGCAAAGACCAGGGTATCAAGTATATAAGCAAAGTGAGTAACAGGTGCTGTACAAGCCTCCTCTTCTAGGCAGCAAAACCAGATACATGTTAAGGTCTTAGAATATTTATACTGTGTCTGTATGATTAAGATTAAGATGTCCAAGATCATCTCCATAAATCCTCCTTCAAATAATCCATGTATTAATAGTATAGAGGTTTCAGAGCCCAAGTAGGATGAGAAAGACATTGATGTGGAAAAGGATACGGTGGCAGAAGTGAAGTGGGTTACAAAGATGGAAGTTAATCAAATAAGAACAGTCGTGCACCATATAACAACATTTTGGTCAATGACTGACTGCATATAAAACTGGTCCCTTCAGATTATAACGGAGCTGAAAAATTCCTATTGCTTAGTAACATAATGATGTCATAACTATCATAACATCATAGTGCAGTGCATTACCTTTTCTATATTTAGATATGCTTAGATACACAAATATCGTTATTGTTACAATTGCCTACAGTATTCAGTAAGGTAACATGCTATACAGGTTTGTATCCTAAGAGCAATAGGCTAATATCACATAGCCTAGGTGTATAGTAGGCTACAACTTCTAAGTTTGTGTAAGTACATTCTATGATGCTTTCACAACAATGGAATTACCTAACACATTTCTCAGAATGTATTTCCATTGTTAAATAATGCATAACTGTAAATATTTTAAGGATAATAATGGAAGTCAGGTTTATCACCGTCAGAGATGGGGACTGCAAATATAGAAAGGGAAAAAACTAGAATTGAATCCTGTGGTGTTAGGATGGAATTGGTGGTATTAGTTTGAATTCACGGTTTTCAAAATATATAAATAATGTGGACATAAATATTGATACATGTGTGTGGAAGTATATATGTATATATATAAATATATTCCCTAGCTCTCACCACTGAAGATGCCTATGAGCAGCAACTTTTCAATAGCAGTGAGCACATCTAGCCCCCAAAACTTGGCTCTGAAACAGCATTTCCTAATAAAAAGAACAAGGGCTCTAGGAGAAATCACTCATTCCAGGCCTAGGGCAGAAAAAAATGAAAGATGAGACTAAAACATCTTGTACAAAAGAGCAAGGGAGTGCTCAAAGAATTATGAGAGAAGAAAAACACACAGGAGTCTGTTTGAAGGAGCACTCACTGGCCAGGAGACTGAAGAGACTAAAGTCCCTGATTAACAAAACCAACGTGTGATTCTAACACGGATCTTTTTACTATAGAAGATATTACTGCCTTCAGTTTTTGGCTCAGAAGAGGCCAAGGTGCAACTCTCTTTGGTTGTACCAAATCCAGGTTCATCCAACACCAGCTGCCTCCACCATGCTGCTGAAGTTCCACCCCAGCTTTGAGATCAAAGTTGTGTATCTGAGGTGTATCGAGGTAAAGTCAATGCCACATCTGCACTGGCCCCCAAGATCGGCCCCCAGGGCAACCAGTACCTCGAAGGATCTGAGAATTACAGTGAAACTGACTATTCAGAATAGACAGGCCCAGATTGACGTGGTACCTTCTCCCTCTGCACCGATCATCAAAGCCCTCAAGGAACTGCCAGGAGACAGAAAGAAACAGGAAAATATTAAACAAGGTGAAAATATCACTTTTGATGAGATTGTCAACATTGCTCGACAGATGTGGCACTGATCTTTAGCCAGAGAACTCTCTGGAACGATTAAAGAGATCCTGGGGACTGCCTAGTCTGTGGGCTGCAATGCTGATGGCCGCCACCCTCATGACATCATAGATGACATAAACAGTGGTGCGGTAGAATGGCCAGCTAGTTAAGAAGCACAAAGGAAAATATTTCAATAAAGGATCATTTGACAACTAAAAAAAAAAAAAAAGTTATTATTGGTCAGATGGAGAAACTTGAATGGGGTCCGAGGATTTGGTGGTAGTAATGCATTCATGTTAATTTTATGATGCGAATGGTTATTCTGTGATTATATAGGAAAATGTTCTTGTTTCCAAGAAGTATACATTAAAGCAGGAGTCTAACCCCTGGGCCATGGACCAGTACCAGTCTATGGCTGGTTAAGAACTGAGCTGCACAGCAAGAGGTGAGCAGCAGGCAAATGAGCATTACTGCCTGAGCTCTGCCTCCTGTCAGATCACCAGCAGCAATAGATTCTCATAGGAGAGAGAACCCTATTGTGAACTGCGCACATGAGGGATCTAGGTTGCACACACCTTATGAGAATCTAATGCCTGATGATCTGAGGTGGAAGGGTTTCATCCTAAAACCATCTCCATCTGCACTCCAGTCCATGGAAAAACTGTCTTCCCCAAAACCAGTCCCTGGTGCCAGAAAGTTTGGGAATTACTGTATTAAAGTATCTGAAGGCCATAGGGCTTCAGGTAGGAAGCTTATGTGCAAATGGCTCAAGGGGGTGGGAGGGAGTCATTTGTACTTTTTGCTGTCACTTTTTAATAGGTACAAGTACACTGGTTTCTGCATCACTTTGTAGAGATCATCAACACCATCTATCCAACCCTTCCCACCACTTCATGAGTATGAATGAATGTGGAAAATAACATTCTACAGTGGCCTCAGTAGAAAAGATAAAAAAGGCTATGTATTCACAGTGAAAGGACAAATGTAAACAAGGCAAAGTCCAGCCATGAAATAACCTTATGGATCACAAACCAAACTTTGAGACTTTATTCTAACCCAAAGCAATAGAATCTAAACATTCATACTAAGAAGAAACTTAATACTGATGCAGGATGTACGATAAAACCTGAGTTAAAGGGGCATAAACATCAGAAAATGAGAATTTTACTGAAGAAAAGCCCAGGCCAGGAGCGCTGTAATCCCAGCACTTTGGGAGGCCAAGGCAGGCAGATCACGAGGTCAGGAGTTCGAGACCAGCCTGGCCAGCATGGTGAAACCACGTCTCTACTAAAACTACAAAAAATTAGCCAGGCATGGTGTTGTGTGCCTGTAATCCCAGCTACTCAGGAGGCTGAGGCAGGAGAATTGCTTGAACCCAGGAGGTGGAGGTTGCTGTGAGCCGAGATCGTGCCATTGCACTCTAGGCTGGGTGAAGAGCAAGACTCCGTCTCAAAAAAACAAAAGAAAAGAAAAGTCCAGTCCTTGTCTTCAAAATTACTTCAGTGTGGCCGGGCGCGGTGGCTCACACCTGTAATCCCAGCACTTTGGGAGGCCGAGGTGGGCGGATCACGAAGTCAGGAGATCGAGACCATCCTGGCTAACACGGTGAAACCCCGTCTCTACTAAAAATACAAAAAAATAGCCAGGCGTAGTGGCGGACGCCTGGAGTTCCAGCTACTCGGGAGGCTGAGGCAGGAGAATGGCGTGAACCCAGGAGGCGGAGCTTACAGTGAGCTGAGATTGCACCACTGCACTCCAGCCTGGGCCACAGAGCCAGACTCTGTCTCAAAAAAAAAAAAATTAAAATTACTTCAGTGCAGGTATGAAGATCAATACAAAGTAGTATACTATAAACTGAAATAAAGTGCCAAAAGTAGGAGGAAGCAACATGATTAGACGTACGAAGAAAGGAGTAATTAATTCTAACGGGAAAGAGCCATTTATCGAGCACCTAAACACACTAAGTCAGTATCACAGCACAGAAAGATGAAAAGAGGCTGTCCTCACGATACAACAGGAAGGAGAAAGGCAGAAAACCAGGGTGTGATTTAAAGTGCCATGGGGTCTCATCATTGAACAGTTAACCCTTAGAGGGAGGGGAGAAAATAAAAGTCTGAATACAGCCTTAAAGGAGGAATAGATGGGAGCATTAAGAAAAATATAAATAATCTCAAATGGTCTTAGCCTGGGAATGTAGGCAAGGTAGCAGTAGTATGAAAAAGGCCCTGAACATGGATACAGATTTTTTTTTGATTTTAGATTCATGATGTGTAAGTTTACTCCATGAACATGTTGCATAATGGTGAGGTCTGAGCTTCTAGAAACCCATCACCCAAACAGTGAACACTGTACCCAATAGGTAATTTTTCAACTCTTATCCCCCACCCATCCTCCCCACTTCTGAAGTCCCCAGTATCTATTATTTCCATGTTTATGTCCATGTGTACCCACTGTTTAGCTCCCACTTACAAGTGAGAACATGCAGTATATGATTTCCTGTTTCTGACTTATTATACTTAGAATAATGGCCTCCAGCTCTGTCCATGTTGCTACAAAGAATACAGCTTCATTCTTCTTTTGTTGTTGTTGTGTTTTGTTTTCTGGAGAAAGAGTCTTGCTCTGTTGCCCAGGCTGGAGTGCAGTGACATAATCTCAGCGCACCGCAGCCTCCGCCATTGCAGCCTCTGCCTGGGTTCGAGTGATTCTTGTGCCTCAGCCTCCCGAATAGCTGGGATCGCAGGCATTTGTGCCACCATGTCTGGCTAATTTTTGTAGTTTTAGTAGAGACAGGGTTTAGCCATGTTGGCCAAGCTGGTCTTGAACTCCTGGCCTCAAGTGATCCGCCTGCCTCAGCCTCCCAAACTGCTGGGATTACAGGCATGAGCCACTAGGCCCAGTCTCAGTTTCATTCTTTTTTATGGTTGCATAGTATTCCATGGTGTATATACACCACATTTTCTTTATCCAATCAACTACTAATGGACACTTAAGTTGATTCCATGACTTTGCTATTTTGATAATTTATATTTATTGTGATAAACATACAAGTGCAGATATCATTTTGATATAATAACTTCTTTTCCTCTAGGTAGATGTCTAGTAGTAGGACTGCTGGATCAAATGGTAATTCTATTTTTAGTTATTTGCTAAATCTCTGTACTGTTTTCCACAGAGGTTGTACTAATTTTCAGTTTTCATTCCCACCAACAGTGTTATAAGTATTCCCTTTTCTCCACATCCTCACCAACATATGTTATTTTTTAACTTTTTAATAATAGCCATTCTGACTGGTGTGAGGTAGAATCTCTCTGTGGTTTTGATTTGCATCTCTTTAATGATTACTGATGTTGAGTTTTTTTTATGTTTGTTGGCTGCTTGTATGTCTTCTTTTGAGAAATGTCTGTTCATATCCTTTGCCCATTTTTTTAATGGAGTTATACATTTTTTTTCTTGTTGAGTTCCTTGTAAATTCTGAATACTGGTCATTTTTCAGATGCATGGTTTGGAAATATTTTCTCACATTCTGTAGGTTGTCTGTTTACTCTGTTGTTTCTTCTGCTGTGCAAAAGCTTAATTAAGTCCCATTTATCTATTTTTGATTTGTTGCATTTACTTTTGAGGTCTTACTCATAAATCTTTTGCCTAAGCCAATGTCCAGAAGAGTTTTTCCTAGGTTTTCTTCACGGATTTTTATAGTTTTCGATCTTACATTTAAGTCTTTAATCCATCTTAATTTCTGTGTATAGTGAGAGACAGGGGTGCAGTTTCATTCTTCTTCACATGGCTAGCCAATCTGCCAAGCACCATTTACTGA